>NC_000012.12:76551037-76702552 GCF_000001405.40 Homo sapiens | reverse complement strand
ATCTTTGTTAAAAATTGCAAATCTTTTAGGAGAGATTTTATTCCAGAGAATCTGGGATAAAATAGCAATTGAGCTCTAATTTTGACACTGAGTTTCCTGGTAGTGAAGGGAAAAATGGAAAAATGGCAATTATGTCATTCTGATTGGCACACAAAAAAGAAGACTGCGAGTTTTTCTGGAAGGGTGAGCTTGGCTGCTGAGGGGAGGAGGTTGTGAGCTAGGTGAGGAAAGTGGGGGAGGTTTGGAACTCCCTGAGCAGAATGGGAGATGGAATTGACTAAGAACAAGTAAAAGAATTTTGAAGCTAAGTTGTGGCACCACAGGGGCCACAGATACGTGTGTATTTGGAATAATTATGGAATACACATCAACTCATCCAAGAAGCCTGTCCTGGTAATCAGTCTGGGCTAAGGTGTCTGTGCCCTTGCAGCTCTTTGTGGCAGCTGGCATGTTGGTTTATTGTTCCTTCTCTTTTTCCCGCCAGAAGTCCAGGAAGGCAAAACATATATCTGCATATTTCCAGTGCCTAGTACAGTTGCCTGACACTAGTGCCTCCCAGGGAAGTGGAAAGTGTAAGGAAAGAGTGAGTGAAAATTTGAAAGCAGACCATTCAGTGGAGTGTGCATGGTGAGGGATAGTTCTTGGGCACTGAGCCTGGAAGAGGCTGGCACTCACTCCATGGGCACTCCTGCCTTTCTCTTCTTGCCTCACACTTGGTAACAGCAGGAACTGGTTAGGGTTAGGCACCAGAAAGATGTGACTGGAAGCACCTACAGTGAGTGTGGGACTTACATATAGCTTACCATTTGCTTGTGGGGTGCTCCAACCTGCTGATTGGTGCTTTGAAGTCTACAGTTAAGGGTGAAATTAAATCCCTTAAATTTATTTTCCTTGTTTTATAATGATTTTCTTGGTTATCAAAATAACATATTTTCATCATAGTACAAAATACAGAAAATTGCAGAGAAGAAAATAAAATTCCTACTGCCCTCAACATTAACATTTTCCTATATATGTTGTCTTTTTTTTTTTTTTTTTTGAGATAGGGTCTCACCTGATGCCCTGGCTGCAGTGCAGTGAAGAAATCTTGGCTTACTGCAGCCTTGATTTCCTGGTGATCCACCCACCTCAGCCTCTCGAGTAGCTGGGGCTATAGGCATGTGCCACCACTCCTGGTTAACTTTAGTATTTTTTGTAGAGACAGGGTTTTGCCATGTATCCTGGGCTCAGGCAATTTGCCCGCCTCCACCTCCCAAAGTGCTGAGATTACAGGTGTGAGCCACCATGCCCGACCTTTCATTCTTTTTTCTATGCATCTATAAATAAAGGGTTTCCTTCACAAAACTGGGATTGCAGCATATTAATTATTTTTATACTACTTTATATGTATTATATGCTTATATTGTTATATATTGTTTTATATTTTGTTATATATTATATTATTATACATTTTTCTGCTTTTTAAAATTATAATTATATCCCAAAATATTCCAGTGCCATTAAGCCCAAAATGACTTTTCAGGAGCTAATAATTTATCTTAATCATTCTTCTATTGTTGAGCATTCAGGAGGTTTACTATTTTTGTCTATTTTAAAGTGATGTTTTAGTAAACATCCTTATTCAATAATAGCTTACGTACACCTTATTTTCTTAGAACAGATTCGTATAAGTGGAATTATTGGAATCAAGGGTGTGAACTTTTAAAGAACTCTGTAAGCCAAGTAGCTCTCAAGAAGACTGCTTCAATTTAACTTCCATTAGAATGTTTAAGAGCACCCATTTCCCTGCACCCTAGTAAGTTCTGAGTGTTAACAACTAAAAATTGTTATAGAAGACACTGAAGTCATATAATTAGAATAGGATAGCTCCTCATACAATTTGCCTTCCATATTGGAGAAGACATATCAGTCTAAATATAAATGGACTATAATAGCACAGTATTATGTGATTAAATTTAAATTCAGACAAAAGATCTATTTTATCTTTATAAAAGTCTTAGCTTTTAGAAAACTTTTAGATATAGAACAAAATAGAGTGTTAATTTATATCACATTTGAATGAAAATATCTTGCAACAGGTACTTGAACAAAGATTTTTTAAAGTAGTTCAGGCCAGGTGCGGTGGCTCATGCCCGTAATCCCAGCCCTTTGGGAGGCCGAGGCAGGTGGATCAGGAGGTCAGGAGTTTTGAGACCAGCATGACCAACATGGTGAAACCCTGTCTCTACTGAAAATACAAAAATTAGCTGGGTGCGGTGGCGCGTGCCTGTAATCCCAGCTACTCCAGAGGCTGAGGCAGCAGAATCTCTTGAACCTGGACAGCGGAGGTCGCAGTGAGCTGAGATCGCACCACTGCACTCTAGCCTGGGCGACAGAACGAGACTCTGTCTAGGACAAAAAAAAAAAAAGCAGTTCAATCTCTAATAGGTAAGATATATGTACAGAAAATGAATTGTGCAAATTGATTCCACATACAGTCAGAATAATCATTTAATGTTATTATGTTTTAATGTAGGGAAAACAGAGGAAAAACTTGCTTTCCTTTTGTAGTTTTACTGTGTTTCATTACTGGTGCCAGATTTTTTACATACATTATCTCTAATTCTCACACAACTCTACAAAGAATACTTTTTTGTTGTTGTTCCAATTTTACAGATAAGAAAACAGGCTTGGGCCAGGCATAGTCACTTATGCCTGTAGTCCTAGCACTTTGGGAGGCTGAGGCGGGAGGCTCGCTTGTCCCCAGAAGGTTGAGGCTGCAGTGAGCTTTGATCAGAGGCTGAGAAAGGTAAGAAAGCTGGTAAAGGACACCCCAATAAGAGGTAGGCCAGCACTTGAGCCCAGACTTGTCTTACAGCAGAGCCTTGCTCATTTCACTACACCATGGAGACTCACAGGGAGCTACAACACAGCACAGCATGAGAGAAAATGACAGAGACCCTAACCCTAGGCTGGTGGCAAAAGGGCCCCGTGACACAAAGCCATCAACCTCCCTCTCTGGTGGCCTAAAGCGGAACTATTAACAAGTTAACACTTTCTGTTATTTCTGTATTTAATATGTTTAAATGTGTAAAATTATCATTGAATGGATTTGTTTGTTAAACTGTAAGGAGAGAAGAGAAAAGAAAAAAAAGAAACAGAAAGAAGGGAGAAAAAGGAAAAAAAGGATGAGGAAAATGGAACAAGAGTAAAAACTAGCCCCTGTGGTACTTAAAAATCCCACGACTGTCTCGATAATATCCAGGTGTAGAGTAGAGAGGGGGTAATTTTGAGAGCATTGCGTATATTTGCAGGTTGGGAAGCAGCGGGACGAATGGTTTTAGAATCAGGCTGAGTGGGTGGAGTTACTTGCAGGATCTCACAGGCAGGGTGCTGAGCCACGTCTTTTTTTGTTGTTGTTGTTCTGCCACCTGTCTCCACCACAGGGGTCTGCTGCCCCACGGGCAGGCAGTTGTGTTTGTGGGTCAGGACATCCCTCTCTTGGACAGGCAAATGCTTAAGCATGTTTCTTTCTTTTCTTTTTCTAACAGCAGTACCAGTTTTTCTTCAGATGGGGTACACACAGGCTTGAAGAAAGGCTGGCTATGCTGGGGAAGCAGTGCAGTGTCCTGCAGAAGAACAAACGCTCCCATGTCAGACCACCTGAATTCAGACTCCAGCTCTGCCACTCACTGTGTAAACCTGGATAAGTCACTTAATCATTCTTTGCCTCAGGTCTCCTCTTCTGTAAAATGGGAATTCATTCAAAGAATATTTATGAAACACCTATTGTATGCCAAGAATTGTTTGACCCTCTGAGAATAGAGCAATTAGCAAAAAGCTTATTGTTCAACGGGGGCAGACAGGCTTTAACCACATATAAATTATGATAGATAATAGGTATAATGAAGAAAAATAAAGGAAGGTAAAGGGACAAGCTGACAGGGAGTGATATTCTAGATAGGTAGTCAGAGAAGATCTCCATGAAGAAGTGATATTTGAGCAGAGACATGAAAAACAAGTGAATGAGTCATGCCATGCATCCACAAGGATAAGAACAGCAGGTCCCAGAGCCCTAAGTAAGGCAAGCTTAGTGTGTTCAGGGAAGAACAAAAATGCAAAAGTGACATGTAGCTTAAGCAGAGTCAGTGAAAGAGACAGTAAGAAAGTGGCTAAGGCTGGATGGTTCCGGGCTGGTAGGCCTTGGTAAGGACTTTAGATTGATTCTGACTGTGACTGGAAGTGTATCAGGTAAGGGTCAGTCACAGGAGCCATAAAATACTCTCATTATTTAATTTAAAAGAGACCTTATTCAGAGAATCTGAGTGCTTATAAATTTATCGAAAGGGTTGCAAGAGCAAGCTGTAAGCTGGGCCTCCAGGAATGAGACCCAGAACACCACCATCCAACCATGCTGCCAAATATTGACAAAAGGCCAATATCTTCTCTTCGACACCCCTACTCCCAACTCAAAGCAGGATGTAAGGTCTTCCCTTCTGCTCTTCCATAGCACTTCACTTGTATTTCCCTTGACACACTTGAGAGGAGGCGCCAGCTGGGCTTCCTGTGTCCAGTAGGGGCTCAGAAAGTTGTGAAACTCACTCATTTCCTGCATCAGGACTTCCTTTGGTCCTGGATGAACAATATTGAAAATATATGCTTAAAATATTCCTAACACCAGGATTTGTGCATGTGTTTTCTTCCCCAAGAAAGCTATAAACAGTGAAAATTTTGCTATAAGCTTCCCTGTGTCCTCTCTCCCTGTCTCCCTTCCCCCTCCCCTAAAACTAAAAGGAATGTTAACTGCCCGTTTTTCTGTGACCAGTGGACCTCATCTATGCTCCCAATTCCAATTCCTTGTAAACATACTTTGTAAAGTCCTGTAAATTCCTGTCTCCTTTGCCATGCCACTGCAAGGTCATAAGGTAGATAAAACCTAAGTTACAATTCCGATTTTCCGCAAAATCTAAGACATGTCACAAAATAATTTACTGCCTTTGTTTCTTGCTCTGGTAACATCTTCCCTCTGCACATATTTCCTGCCTTAAAGAGTTTAAAAGGCAACTGCATAATCTAACTCTGGCTACCTGCTCGGGACCCCTTCCATGCTGTGGAAGCTTTGTACTGTCACTCTGCTCAATAAAGCTTACAGCTTTTTTTCTCTTGGTCCGTGTTTCCATCTCTCGCTGGGGGCAGCTGCCACACCAATTCTTTGGCGTGGCTAAGGCAAGAACCTTTGATGTTACATTTTGGCAAGCCAGCCAGGAGATCCAGGAAAGGCATGTAGATTGTCACGCGGTGAGTACTATTGGACCTCTTTCGCTTGCTTTTCTGTCCTGTCCTTCCTTAGAATTATGAGGCTAAAAACTGGGCACCTGTCGGCCACTTAAAGGCGATTAGTGTGGCCACCAGACTAAAGACACAGGTGTCAGGCTGTCTGGAAAAGGTCTCTCTAACAAACCCCAACCCTTCAGGGTTGGGAGCGTTGGTTAGCCTAGACCCAGTTCTAACTCTTTCACTTTCCATGGTGGTCCCAAAGTACACCCAGGAGTGCTCAGCAAACGTTCTAGTTTCCCAGATTTCCTGGTTGAGACCATGGCCCTGCCAGAGGCTCCCCCTGCATGGGTTACTGAGTGTGAGACAGCCACATCTTCTGACCCCTGCCTCCTGGGTCCTAATGTCTGCCCACTAGACTTCTTTCCTCATCTTGCAAGCAAGGTTATTCCCACTAGACAGGATCAAAATTCCCTATTTAAAAGTCTTAAATTCTTGGGGTGGTGCCCAGAAGATCCCCGTTCATGGTGCCCGTCAGGGTTTAGGCAAGTGTCACCATTTGATGGCTATTTTAAAGGGCCAGTTCCCCACCATAGTGTATGGGACCCCCAATCAGGACAATTTAAAGACAGGTCTGTAATTTTCGTGTGGATAATAGAAGCCTTAGGGCATTTCCTCCATTACTCCCCAAATAGACCTTCCCCTTCCTTGGGGCCTCTCAAGTACAGTCTGTGGTGCATGGGTACAGCTCTTAGAGCCGTTGAATTGTTATTTCAACCATTCAATAATTGGTACTGAATGAAAGAAAATATAGTCAGTTGGGTCACAGGATACTGGTACTGCCTTGAGAGAGGAGCTTACTCCTTTGATGGCAAGTGGGAACAGAAGGCTAGAGTACAGCAGCTGTTCTCTCGGCCCTGGCCTAGAGGACATGCACCACCCCCTTTAAGCTTACTAAGCCTCCTGTCGCTAATTCAGAGATTTCTCCTTAAAGGACTGTTTTATGGCCAGGCCCATGTAAATTGGGCCTTAGCATGCAAGCATCAGTGGTGCCCCTGACCCAGGCCTTGCCACCCTGGAACAGGTAGAACACGTTGGCAAAAGGACCACAATAAATCCAACGGTCCTTGTGCCCCATTTAGTGGTCAATGGGCACATGGCAGGTGCAAGGGAAGTTTCCATCCCACCGGTAAGCATGGTTAAATCTGGTAGATGGAGGGCTCAGGAAAAGCAGCCATGAGCTATGAGCAACAGTTGGACCTGACCCTTGGGGGATGCCCTAAGGGAAGACAGGTCCCAGGACTAACCAGGGGTGGAGGCATCCCTGTGTTTAAAATTCCAGACGGGCACCACACCTTCAAAACCAGACACTCTCTTAAGATGTATCCTGAATAACTGGGACAAATTCGACCCTGAAACCTTAAAAAAAAGCAGCTGATTTTCTTCTGTACCACTGCCTGGCCACAGTATTCCTTACAAAATGGAGAAACTTGGCCCTCTGAGGAAAGTATTAATTATAACACCCTTCTACAACTAGATCTTTTCTGTAAACGGAAAGGTAAATGGAGTAAAGTCCTTTATGCACAGGCTTTCTTTGCCCTTCATGACAATACTGCCCTGTGCCAAGCCTGCAAGCTTTGCCCAAATGACAGAGGCCCACAGTTGCTTCCATCCTCAGGGCCTCTTCCCTCTGCCCCACTCTCCTCCCCAACTGACTCTCCTCCATCTGGCCCCACTGAAGTGTTAAAGGCACACCGGAAAGAGAACATAAACTCCACGAGCCAGGCACCCAAACTATGTCCCTTACAAGCAGTAGAAGGAGAATTTGGGCCCATTCATGTGCATGCCCCCTTCTCACTCTCAGATTTAAAACAAATAAAGGCAGATTTAGGGAAATTCTCAGATGATCCTGATAACTATATAGATGTCCTGCAGGCATCGGGGCAGTCCCTTAATCTAACACAGAGAGATATCATGTTACTTCTTGATCAGACCTTAAGTCCCACTGAAAAAGAAGTAGCTTTAGCAGCAGCCCGGCAATTTGGGGATCTGTGGTACCTTAGCCAGGTAAACGATCGAATGGCCCTGGAGGAGAGGGGAAAATTCCCCACAGGGCAACAGGCAGTCCCCACTGTAGACCCTCATTAAGATACTGACTCAGATCATGGAGATTGGAGCCGCAGGCATTTGCTAACTTGTCTTTTAGATGAGTTGAGGAAGACTAGGAAAAAGCCTACGAGCTACTCAATACTATCCACAATTACACAGGGAAAAGAGGAAAACCCCTCTGCTTTTATAGAAAGGCTAAGGGAGCCCCTAAGAAAGCACACCTCCCTAACTCCAGATTCTGTAGAAGGCCAACTCATTTTAAAGGATAAATTTGTCACCCAATCAGTGGCTGACATTAGGAGAAAACTCCAGAAGTCTGGAGTTTGTTAGGCCCAGAACAAAATTTGGAAACATTATTAAATTTGGCAACCTCGGTGTTCTGTAACAGGGACCAAGAAGAACTGGCCAAAAGGGAAAAGCGAGGTTAAAAAAAAGGGCTGCAGCCTTAGTCATGGCCCTCATACAGGCAAACCTTGGTGGCTAAGAGGGAACCAAGAGAGGAGCAGGCCAATTGCCTAGTAGGGCTTGTTATCAGTGCAGTTTGCAAGGACACTTTAAGAAAAATTGCCCAACCAGAAACAAACCGCCCGCTCGCCCATGTCCAATATGCCAAGGCAATCACTGGAAGGCACACTGCCCCAGAGAACAAAGGCCCTCTGGGCCAGAAGTGCCCAACCAGATGATTCAGCAACAGGACCGAGGGTGCCCGGGGCAAGCGCCAACTCATGCCATCACCCTCACAGATCCCTGGGTAAGTCTGACCATTGAGGGCCAGGGAGTGGACTTCCTCCTGGACACTGGCACGGCCTTCTCAGTTTTAATCTCCTGCCTCGAACAACTGCCCTCAAAGTTCGTCACTACCTGAGGAATCTTAGGAAAGCCTGTAACCAGGTATTTCTCTCACCTCCTCCACTGCAATTGGGAGACTTTGGTCTTTTCACATGCCTTTCTTGTTGTGCCCAAAAGTCCCACACCCTTATTAGGGAGGGACATATTAGCCAACGCTGGGGCTATTATCTACGTGAATATGGGGAACAACTTACCCATTTGTTGTTCCCTACTTGAAAAAGGAATCAACTCTAAAGTCTAGCCCTTGGAAGGACAATTTGGAAAGGCAAAGAATGCCCATCCAGTTCAAATCAGGCTAAAAGACCCCACCACTTCTCCTTATCAAAGGCAACATCCCTTAAGGCCTAAAGCTCACAAAGGATTACAGGATACTGTTAGACATTTAAAAGCTCAAGGCTTAGTAAGAAAATATAGCAGTCTTTGCAACACCCCAATCCTAGGAATACAAAAACCAAATGATCAGTGACTAGTGCAAGACCTCAGAATCGTCAATAAGGCAGTAATTCCTTTATATCCTGCTGTACCCAACCCCTATACACTGCTCTCTCAAATACCAGAGAAAGCAGAATGGTTCTGTTCTAGACTTCAAAGATGCCTTCTTCTGCATTCCGTGGCATTTTGACTCCCTAGTGACCCTACAAAGCCAGCTTAATTCTCTAGCTGCGGTAGTCCTTCAAAACCGAAGAGCCCTAAACCTATTAATAGCTGAAAGAGGAGGAACCTGCTTCTTCTTAGGAAAAGAATGTTGCTATTTCGTTAACCTGTCAGAAATCATTACTAAAAAGGTCAAAAAGAATAAAAGAACGGATAAAAAGTAAGAAAAAAGAGCTTGAACACTCAGGACCCTGGAATATGTTTAACCAATGGATACCTTGGCTCCTCCCCTTTCTAGGCCCTGTGACAGCCATCCTACTATTACTCGCCTTTGGGCCTTGCATTTTTAACCTCCTTGTCAAATTTGTTTCCTCCAGGTTCCAGGCCATCAAGCTACAAATGGTCTTACAAATGGAACCTCAAGTGAGCTCAACTCACGGCTTCTATCGAGGACTCCTGGATCAACCTGCTGGTCCCTCGACTAGCCAAAAAATTCCCCTCTGGAGGACACCACAACTGCAGGGCCCCTTCTTTGCCCCTAATCAGCAAAAAGTAGCCAGAATGACCGCTGCCCAGTTCCCAACAGCAGTTGGGGTGTCCTGTCTAGAGCGAGGACTGAGAGGAGGGACCAGCCGGGCTTCCTGGGTCCTGCAGGGGCTCAGAAAGTTGTGAAACTCATTCATTTCCTGCATCAGGACTTCCTTCTGTCCTGGATGAATAATATTGAAAACATATGCTTAAAATATTCCTAACACCAGGATTTGTACATGTGTTTTCTTCCCCCAAGAAAGCTATAAACAGTGAAAATTTTGCTATAAGCTTCCCTGTGTCCTCTCTCCCTGTCTCCCTTCCCTCTCCCCTGAAACTAAAAGGAATGTTAACTGACCATTTCTCTGTGACCAGTGGACCTCATCTATGCTCCCAATTCCAATTCCTTGTAAACATACTTTGTAAAGTCCTGTAAATTCCCGTCTCCTTTGTCATGCCACTGCAAGGTCATAAAGTAGATAAAACCTAAGTTACAATTCCGATATTCCTCAAAATCTAAGACATGTCACAAAATAATTTACTGCCTTTGTTTCTTGCTCTGGTAACATCTTCCCTCTGCACGTATTTCCTGCCTTAAAGAGTTTAAAAGGCAACTGCATAATCTAACTCTGGCTACCCGCTGGGGACCCCTTCCATGCTGTGGAAGCTTTGTACTGTCACTCTGCTCAATAAAGCCTGCAGCTTTTTTTCTCTTGGTCAGTGTCTCCATCATTCACCACAGGCAGCCGCCGCACCAATTCTTTGGTGTGGCTAAAGCAAGAACCTTTGGCGTTGCCGGGCGCGGTGGCTCACGCCTGTAATCCCAGCACTTTGGGAGGCCGAGGCAGGCGGATCACGAGGTCAGGAAATCGAGACCATCCTGGCTAACACGGTGAAACCCCGTCTCTACTAAAAAATACAAAAAAAAATTAGCCGGGCGTGGTAGCGGGCGCCTGCAGTCCCAGCTACTCGGGAGGCTGAGGCAGGAGAATGGTGTGAACCCAGGAGGTGGAGCTTGCAGTGAGCTGAGATCGCACCACTGCACTCCAGCCTGGGCGACAGAGCGAGACTCCGTCTCAAAAACAAAAAACAAAAAACAAACAAACAAAAGAACCTTTGGCGTTACACACTCAGTACACTTTTTCTGCCTCACCCAGTGGTCGTTTATTTACATGCCTTATCTCCCCCACTAGACTGTTGTTACTACTTTTATTTTTTTAGATTGGGGGTTTTGCTGTGTTACCTAGGCTGGAGAGCAGTGATGCAGTCCTGGTTCCCTGCAGCTTCCAACTCCTGGGCTCAAGTGATCCTCTCACCTCAGCCTCTTGTGTCACTGGGATTACAGGTGTGAACCACCACACCCAGCATGTTTTTACTACTTTTAGGGAAAAGGACTGTGTCTCATTCTTTCTCAGTAGTGCTTTTTATTATAGTATGAGCACAATTTAAAAAAATACTGATTTAAACTCTTTTCTCTTTTTTAATTCTGGCTACAGATGTTTCTGAGAACATCAAACTACATAAAAGCATTTTCTCTTAGCACTGCGAAGATATCCATTCATCCAACAACTAAAACAACAATGAAAATTCACAATCCACTGGCATAGCAAGCCATAAACAAACCATAATAATGCCAGGAATTGTAGTACGTTTATGAATAAAGTATGAAGGTAGGGCTGGAGACAGTGACTAACTCATCTTAGAAAAGTCAAAGACAGCTGGACAAAGTGACATTTTAGAGTGTTAAGTTGAAGAGATGGAGAAAGATTTCTTGGCATAGAAAACAACATAAGAAAAGGCAAGGGATTGTGCCTTGGGCAACAGACATTTAGGAAAAACAAAAATCTCTGAGCGGCAGGAGGCTTCTCATATGTCTTCAACGCTTCAACTAATAACCCTTGTTGAGTGATATTTTGTCAAGTAAAATCAAAATGGAATTAGAAAAACATGGAATTTGTTCTTAATAAGCTAAAAATCTACTAATGATCTTGAATCAAATGGGGATCTTCCATTCTATAAAATCCTCATATTTCTACATTGATTGCACCACATATTTAACTGGGTATGTGCTCTCTGGTGATGAAAGGTATTTGACCAGCAGCCGAAGGGCTTACCACATCTAGAGAATTCCTTCTCTCTTCTTTCCAGCATGAATTCTCTGGTGTCATGTAAACCTAGAATTGAAAGTCGTCCAATATTCATTACATTCATAATATTTCACTCCTGTATGATTTCCATAATCAAGACCTGATTTTTGATTGAAATATTTTTCCACTCTCATTATATGAATGTGGTCACTGCCCTAAATGAACTCCTTGATGTCTGATTTGAACCAATAAAGAATAAATATACAAAGAGGCATTTGGAGGGAGTTATGTTTGCCAGGGCATACATATTGTGATTCAATATGTTTCTTAGTTCCTTTGATGTCTTTTTCTTCACTGTGGTGGTCTGCTTCTTAAACTAGTTAATCTTACACGAGAGTCTACACAAATCATGCTGGTACTAAAGTGAAGTCAAATGCAGGACTATGGAGAGGCTTCGGCATCCCTTTCTTTTAGCTGTTGCAACCCCTTTCAGGGTATAGAGCTTGATGACCAGAGCATGGGCTCTACCTCAGCCTCCACTTCCATCCTGCCAGGCCTGGTGCCCTTGTGCAGGCCACAACCTGTACACCTACCCACGTGGGCCTAGAGAGTATATGAAGAAGGCCTTTGAGTATCACCCACAACTACTTACTGTAGCCAATCAAATCATGCTCCTGAGAAAGAACTTTGAAAAACTCAACCTTGACCAGGCACGGTGGCTCACGCCTGTAATCCCAGCACTTTGGGAGGCCAAGGCAGGCAGATCGCAAGGTCAGGAGATTGAGACCATCCTGGCTAACATGGTGAAACCCCGTCTCTACTAAAAATACAAAAAATTAGCCGGGTGTGGTGGCAGGCGCCTGTAGTCCCAGCTACTCGGGAGGCTGAGGCAGGAGAATGGTGTGAACCGGGGAGGCGGAGCTTGCAGTGAGCCAAAAAAAAAAGAAAAACTCAACCTTTCCTAAGTTAATCAAAACATTGTCATTGCTGATGTAATACAGACAGAAACTATGATCCAGAGACATTCTGAAATAAGTATGTTTTCAGCCCACAATTTCTACTGTTCCTGTAATTTGGTTTTCCATGCTAATCCCACTTTCTAGATTCTAGGGTATAGAACTTAAAAAAAAAACATTCGAGAGTTCACTGAAGATAAAATGAAGACCTCAAAAATAATTGGGCACGTTATGTGGCTTAGTAAAAGAAGAAAATGTGACATCAGGAAAGCAGTTTGGAGATTTCACAAAAGACTTAAAAACACAGCTACCATTCAACCCAGTAATCCCATTAATGAGTATATACCCAAAAGAAAACAAATTGTTTCACCAAAAAGACATGTGCACTTGTATGTTCATTGTAGCACTATTCACAGTAGCAAAGCCATGAAATCAACTTAAGTACCTGTCAACAGTGGATCAGATAAAGAAACTGTGGTACATATACACCGTGGAACACTACATACCCAAAAAAAGAATGGAATTGTGTCCTTTGCAGCTGGACACAATTTCATTCTTTTCATGTATGCCACTGGAGGCCATAAGTCTTAGTGGATGAATACAAAAACAAAACCAAATACCACATGCTCTCACTAATAAGTGGGAGCTAAACACTGAGCACATGTGCACACAAGGAAAGGAATAATAGACACTGCAAACTAGTAGGTGGGGACAGAGGAAGGAAGGGAAGGGGTGGAAAAAACTACTTATTGGGTACTATGCTGTCTGTCTGGGTAAAGGGATCCATACTCCAAACCTCACCATCATGCAATATACCCATATAACAAACCTGCACATGTAACCCTTGTATCAAAATAAAAGTTAAAAACATTGTTTTTAAAAAGAAGAAAAGGCCAGAGGTAGTAGGTCATGCCTGTTATCCCAGCACTTTGGGAGGATGAGGCAGGTGAATTGCTTGAGCCCAAGAGCCTGAGACTAGCCTGCGCAACATGACAAAACCATGTCTCTACAAAAAATACTAAAAATTAGCCAGGCATGGCAGTGCATGCCTCTAGTCCCAGCTACCTGGGAGGCTAAGGTAGGAGGGTCACCTGAGTCCAGGTGGTTGAGGCTGCACTGCACCATGATCGCGCCACTACACTCCAGCCTAGGTGACAGAGCAAGACCCTGTCTCAGCTACAACAACAACAGAAATAAAGAAAGAAAGAAAGAAAAAAGAACATGTGACACCAGATAGTCAGTATTATTTTTTGGACTATGTTGCAGTGACCTAAGACAAAAAACTCAGCCTTCTGATCTTCCTGCAATCAGCCAATATCTATAGGCCACTTTACTTGAGAGGGCCCCCTGTTGGAGTACTCATGCTATGAGACTCTCCAGTATGAAGAAAAAATAATTTAAATTCTAGTTTCAGCTTTCGTACCAATGGTCAAATATTAAATATTTTAACTTTTGTGGGCCTCTATTTCCTTAAGCTTAAAGTAGATGATCACCGCAGTGCTTTCTAGTTGTAAAATGATGCTCACAGACAAAACTTTGTTATAAAAGTATTGACCCTCTGTCTTTATTACGTACGTGCAACTTCCTCCCAAAAAGGACAGTTGCAACAGGAGAGACACATATCATAACTTGGACTCTTCCTATAATTATAGAAATGAAAGATATTTAATGGATATCCCAGCATTAGACATTTTCTCATAGAGATCTATCATCCATGTAAAAATGTTTGTCAAATATAAAGGGGGCAAATGTTACAATATATGTATTTTCTCAAAAATGACAAAAGCAAAACTAAAACAGTGCCTTTCCAAAAAAGAAAATGCAGCCAAATTTATCTCCCCATGAGGAGAAATAAGGAATAAAGAGTAATGAGATTCCCTGAAACATTACCAGACATGCTGTTAAATATGAAAAGTCACGCCCTCCAGTCAGAGCAGCTTTGTGGTAAGCTCATTGTAATTTTCCATCTCATATTTCTTGGAGGGCTGGCAGTAAGTATTTCCTGATGGTTTTCCTTCTTCCTTTACATATTTAAGGCTATTTCTATCCACTATGAATACATTCATGTATATTTTTCTTATTAAAAATGTTCCCCTGTTTTTTAGCCAGCTTTTCCAACCAGGCTTCAGGCAGAACTTGAATGTGGAAATCGTTTGTCTCCGTACTGCTCCTTTTGACATGGAAAAGGAACTCTCTTCTCTCTGAAATTGCTCTCCAATCATTCCCCCTTTTCCTTTCCTCACACAAAACTGTGAAGAAAAGGAAAGAATTGCAGTCATTTTGGAGTGAACTTCAGGATTACATTTCCTGAGGCTATCTATATCTTCAGCTTTGTTTTTTATTGCAGAAATAAAGGCTTTGTCTCTTTGATGATGACATCTTCTGATGTCTTGAATTCCAGGCATCAGAACAGCGTGTAGGATGAGACTTTTAAAATGTTGTTTGGACCTCTGGGTGGGGGAATGTCGGTCATCCCAACATGGTATCAGCGGGCACACAGAGCCAGCAGAGCCCTGCTCTTTATGTTTAACACCAGCAGAAGCTGAATTGCCCCAACATATGGGGGTGGGGGTTACTTTTTTCTTCCTCCTGCATATTGGGTGAGGACATTTCTGCAGAGACTATGTCATTGGGATCTTAGAATTTGGGAATTGAATTCATCCAAACCAGGAGTTGACATTTTGCTCCTGTTCCATGCCATCCACAGGCACAGACTGCCTTATCAGTAGCACCTCTCCGGGGAGGGAGTTGCCTGGTGGAGACTCTCTGATCCAGACAAACCCTCTCAGTACAAGATGGGGACCAGAGAGCTAGCTGGTCACCATCCAAATCCGGGCCCAAACCAGATTTGAGGGCAAACTTATACAACTGGCAGATCTTCTTTAAGAAAAATAGTACACAATTATTAATAAAATATTAGATATGCAAAGAAGTGTCTATAAGGAGAAAAGAAATCACCACACATTGCAAATCTTATTATTTATTTACTTATTTATTTTTGAGATACGGCTTGCTCTGTAACCTAGGCTGGAGTGCAGTGGCATAATCCTGGCTCACTGTAGCAGTCTCAAATTCCCAGGCTCAAGTGATTCTACCACCTCAGCCTCCTGAGTAGCTGATACTACAGGTGCGTGTCATCACGCCAAATTAATTTTTTTAATTTTTCTTTTGTAGAGACTGGGGTCTTGCTATGTTGCCCAGCCTAGATTCAAGTGATCTTCCCACCTCAGCCTCCCAAAGTACTGGGATTACAGATGTGAGCCACCACACCTGTCAGAGGTGTTCAAACCAGAGCGACTCCATCTTGAGTGAGGGCTAGGAAAATGAAGCTAGGACTGCATTCCCAGAAAGTTGGGTATTCCTGGCCTCTAGATGTTAAATTAAGGAACAGCTTGATAATGTTTACTAAACAGACTTGGGAGGGACCCGATAGATATCCTGATAGCTTGAGAAGAGATGCATTCCTAATTTTGATTTAAAGATAATGATATAGATTCTTGCAAAATACAGTAATTAAGAAAATTAACCCTTTATCATAAACCCTTGTAGCACAGCACATCTCCCCATGACCTTTTTTTATCCCATATATAAACAAGTATTGTACAAAGGGTGGATGCGTTCCTCCTCTTACTTTCGGGAAGGCCCTACTCTGTCTATGGAGTAGCTGTACTTTGACCACTTTACTCTCTCAATAAACTTGTTTTTGCTTTGCACTGTGGACTTGCCCTGAATCCTTTCTTGTGTGAGATCCAAGAACCTTCTCTTGGGGTCTGGATCGGGACTGCTTTCCTGTAACACACCTAGCCACATTACACATTTTAAAAAGCTGACAAACACCATAAACATTACAAAGTCTAGAAAATATCATAACACTATTATTAATCTATTGCTTGACACACCTCTATTATTCTTTCCTGCCTTTTTTGACTGCATACTCTTCAATCACATCTTCATGTGATAATTTCATAATATTTCCTAATTGAAGAGAATTGAAAGGCAATTTGGTCTTTCCTCCAGCATAGTGGATCAAAGTTTGTTTTTTATTATAGTTTAGAAAAATTTATTTTAGTTTTATAATTCTTATTTGTAAGGCTTTATAAATTTTTAGGATTGTCAAATCCTAAAAATGGTCAAATTTGGAAAAACCTCTATCAAGTTTCTTTCATGTACGAGCTGTAAACTTCTTGAGGCATTTGTATGTTTTTTGGCTAATTTTAAATACTCTTTAAGTTAATGACAGCCATTAACCAGTTTGTCATCAATATTCTCGTATTTATATGTAGTAAATTTGTGTTATATTCATAGATATTGGAATTTCATGCTGTATCAGTCTGCGTGCAAATGGGAGAGAAAAATCACACAGTAATTTGATAGATAATAGATAAAGTTTAATAAAAAGAAGTAAAGAGAACAAACCAAGAAAATACAGAAATCACAGATAATAGGAGCAGCTACTATCCCCAAGGCTAAGATAGAGCCACCAAGACCTCCTCCTCCACAACCAGGACTGAGAACAGACATTGACTTGCAGATATGCAGAGAGGCTGGTGTGGTGCTCAGCAGTGGAACTTGCCAGGAAACTGCCCTGTGGAGTGCTGGTGAAAGCTGATGATGGAGAGGTCTCTCACACAACTGCCTAAGAGGCTGCCAGGGGAAGCTGCAGGCTGCTGCGTGCTGCAGAGGCTGGGCCCTGGAGAAGCTGCAAGCACTGCAGGAGCCCGTGCTGGAGAAACCTTATACACTGCAGGAGTCTGATGCTGGAGAAGGCATAAGCTGAAATCTTGTGTGCTGCAGGAACCTATCCAAGCCCATCGCAACCAGGAAGCAAACCCGTTTCCTCCTGCAATGTCTCTCCAGCGCCTTCTATTCTCAAAGCTTCAGAGCCAGCTGGCAAGCAAAAATTATTTAAAGGGCCTTCATCCATTTTTCAAAAAGCAGTCAAAAAGGCAATACATAGTAACCACACATATGTCAAATCAGTGAGAAATTTACATTGTTTTCCATGTGATCAACTCTTCTTCACAGGTTGGAGTATCCAACAATTCAATAACCCTGTCTCTTCCTTTTTTTTGAGTTACTGCTTTTGTTATGCTCTGAAAAAAAAATTGCTGCCATTTGCCTCTCAATGTCAGAATAATCTCCATTGACTGTACTGTTCTCCTGTATGTCTTTTGTTTCATATTCCATTACTGTTTTTAATCAGAATTTTTTCTCAATTCTTTAGTAACTAAATTTAAAGTTAATAAAAGAAAGCACCCTTCACGTGTTTCCAAACTAGCAGTCGATAATTTCTAGCTAGTTGTACTGGAACATTCCAAAATGGTTTTCCAAATTGCAGTAAATGTGGCATATTCCCAACTCAACTTTCTTTAGCTGGATTCTTAAAATGCCCACTGCCATTTCAATGCCATCTGACATTGGGGAATGTCTAATAGATGAGAAATCTGAAATTATCCTACTTTTGCAAATTTTAGAAAAACATATAGTCATGTAAAAACATGTGACCATGTAAAACTATATAGCTATTTACCTCAGACCCTGACCACTGGTTCATTGCTTTATTCCATCATACTAAAGTTTCTAGTCCACTCTGGACACTTTCAAAAAATAGACTCTGGGCTGGACATGGTGGCTTATGCCTGTAATCCAACACTTTGGGAGGCCAAGTGGGTGGATTGCTTGAGCTCAGGGGTTGGAGATCAGCCTGGGCAGCATGGCAAAATCCTGTCACTACAAAAAATACAAAAATTAGCCAGGCATGATGGTGTGTGCCCGTAGTCTCAGTTACCTGAGGGGCTCAGGCGGGAGAATCACTGGAGCCCGAGAAGTGGTGGCTGCAGTGAGCTGTGTTCTGGCCAATGCGCTCCAGTCTGGGTGACAAAGCAAGACCTTGTCTCAAAATAAAAAGGACTCTGTATGCCATTACAAGCCCATATTGCCATATTGGTACCAAGCAAAACGTGATCTTGGACGTCTACACAGGTATCTATGCCTGCTCCCCTCGGCTCCTCGGCTCATGGCTTTCTGCCTGCCTTGAATCCTATTGCACACTCTATCTTGGCCCTTATTCTTTTACTAGCCCAGAAGTTGATAATTCTTCAGAATTCAGAAGCCAGGCAGATCTTGTAAATGAGGGAAGCTGTTCTGTTAGGAAAGGAGGGATTATGAAGAAGAGGAGATGACATGTCCTATTGAAAGAACACTGTTGTCATGCAGAAATACCTGTTCGGCATAATCATCTGATTTTTCAAGAGAAGACAAAAATCCAGATTGTTATGTGAAATCTCCCAAATAATAAAAATAGGCAATTAAAAAATACTTGGAACACTGTGGGTCAAATAGTTTTCTTCTAAAGTAAATTTGATATCTAACAGACCGTTCAAATGAACAGAAGTGACATCCTCTATCCTGTCCCATTTTCCAATTACATCATGTTTTATTATAATAATAGCACCTATTACTACCTGACATTTGTTTATTATCTGACAGTTCACGACCTCCCACTATAAAGAAATTTCATAAATAGGGAGCTTGTATGAATTGCTCGCTGCGATATCCCTAGCATATAGAAGGGCACCTGGCATACAATGCACTCAATATGTTTGTTGAGTGAATGAGTGATTGGGCTTTCATGCTTTTGAACATGCCATTTTTGTTTCTTTTCAATATGAGTGTAAGGGTACTCCCTCACTCCTCCAGTCCCAAGACCATGATCAGCACTTTCCCCAAGTGAATCTCCTTTCCAGTCAGGCCCCAAACTGACAGGGAAGGAGAAGCAAACATAATTATCTTCTTCTCCACCTCAAAAAGCTACGAAGTTTTTAATATTAAACCTTACGAATCAAGATGTTTACGTTTACATTGCAACTGAATTAAACGTCATTAACATTTTAAATTATATTTCAGTCAAGAATGTTAGTGTGTTGATCAAAATCTAAGATTCAGATGAATTTCTTTTTTTTTTTTTTATTTTGAGACAAGGTCTTGCTCACTCTATCACCTAGGCTGGAGTGCAGTGGCATGAACACACCTCACTGCAGCCTCAACCTCCTGAGCTCAAGCGATTCTCTTGCCTCTACCTCCCAAAGTGCTGGGATTACAGGTATAAGCCACCATGTCTGGCCTAGACACATTTCTTTAGCCAAAAATATAAAAGATAACTGATTACAAATATAATACACATAATAGTCCAAAATTGTAGTTTCACGAAAATGTTTGTTTTGTTCTGTTTTGGTATGTTAATACTTACATTTCTCACTATGGGGTTTGAAGTTTCAAGAAACTGAGATTCTTTGAAGCATTTGCATGTCTTTTAATTTGTTCTTGTATGCATATATTGATTATAGATTCACATAATATAGATTATTAGATCTGGTCATTTTAGAAGAGAGCTAAGTAGGCTAAAGAAATGGCCATGTGTAGTGGCTCACACCTGTAATCCCAGCACTTTGGGAGGCTGAGGCAGGCGAATTGCTTGAGCTCAGGAGTTCAAGACTACCTTGAACAACATGGTAAAACCCCGTTTCTACCAAAAACACAAAAAAATTAGCCAGGCATAGTGGTGTGCGTCTGTGGTCCCAGCTACTTGGGAGGCTGAGGCAGGAGGATCGCTTGAGCCCAGTAGGTGGAGGTTGCAGTGAGCCTAGGTCACACCACTGCACTCCAGCTAGGGCAACACAGTAAGACACTGTCTCAAAAAAAAAAATTAATTTTGTTCCCCTTTTTTGGGGAAATGTAGGACAAAAGACTCTTTCAGTCGCCACTGGTTGGAATTTATCGAAAGAGTTGAAGGCCAAAGATTTATATTTGTATGACTGTGTTGGTGTCTTTAAAATTAAAGCTGAATCCACAGTCTTGTACCTTGTGTGAAAAGAACAGATGGATGACAGTTATCGCAGAAAGGGAAAATCCAGGGGTTAGCAATTGTGACTATTTCTCCAGCACTGAACACAGAAGAGCACGCCATCCTAGATATATCAGGCCTGCTTAATTTAATGTAATAATTCAGTATTGAAAATATGTGACTCTCTCCCTTTGTTCTGAGCAATCCTCTCTGGTTTTCCACATAGGTTTGCTACCCTAAAGCACATCTCATTCTCAGCTGGAGCTGTCCATCAGAATTACCTGGGGAGCTTTTAAAAAATAATAACACTGGAGCCTCTCCCAGGGCCAACGGAGCCAGAATCTCTGAGGGTGGGGTGTGGCATAGGTATTTTTAAAAAGCTCCCTGAGTGGTTCTAAAATGCAGCCAGGGTTGAAAACCTGTGGTCTAAAGAAGACAATGTGCTAACCAGATTTCCCTATTCCAAATCCTTCAATGGAAGAAAATCCAAATCCTTACCATAAGCTTCAAGGTCGTATACGATCTGCGCCCTGTCTACCACTCTGTGGCCACCACCTATCACATTCCCGTTACCCCCTATATTCTAGCCCTGTTGGTTGTATTAGTTACCTATTGCTGCATAAGAAATTACTCCTCAACTTACAGGCTAAAAGCAACAAACACTTATTCTCTCACAGTTTCTATAGGCCAGGAATCTAGGCCCAGTTTAGGCAGTGCCTCTGGCTCGAAGTCTCTCACAAGGCTGCAGACCAGGAGTTGACCATGACTGCAGTCTCATCTGAAGGCCCAACAGGGGGAGGACTCACTTCCAAGCTCACTTAAGTGGACCTTTTTTCCATATGGCCGTTGGACTGAACGCCTCAGCTCCCTCTTGCTGGCTGTAGGCCAGAGGCCTCCCTCAGTTCCTTGCCGTGTGGACCACTCCACAGGATGGCTTGTGGCAGCTTGCTTCATCAGAGTAAGTGTGTCTGGGGTCCCCAGGACCACCCCCACATTAAGAAATGAGCTAGAAGGACTCATAGGACTCCTCATAAGTTGCACTCACACTAGGATTTATTAAAGCAGTATAGTAAAGATAAACAGCCAGATTACAAAGGAAGCAGGCCCCAGCAGAGTCTGCACGGATCCATTTGCAGGCTCCCTTATGCTCTCACATTCCACAAGAGCTCACACAGATCACATTCTTCTCCCAGCAACAAAAATGCAGAAATGTTTGTGTGATGCTTCTGTCCAAAGAAGCCTATTAAAACTCAGCAACCAAAGGTCTTGTCATAGGCTAGTCACACAAGCACCCTGTGCCTCACTCATGCCAAAATTCCAGATTTCTGGGAAGAAAGCGGGTATTCAGCATAAGCCATATTGTTTGCACAAACAGTCTAGGCATAGTGAGCCTCCCTCATCATTTAGGGAGAGTTATATTAGCATAGGGACCTATTTACCTGTCAAGTTCCCAGATGCCAGCCAATGGCCAACCTTACAAG
Organism: Homo sapiens; assembly: GCF_000001405.40. Classification (NCBI taxonomy): domain Eukaryota; kingdom Metazoa; phylum Chordata; class Mammalia; order Primates; family Hominidae; genus Homo; species Homo sapiens. Next base: position 76,680,852 of record NC_000012.12, on the reverse strand, counting down.
CTGGCATTTCTAAGGATAGCAGTCTCGGTTCTGCTATGTTAATCTTTTTCTGCACAGCAAGAGAACAAGAGAGAAAAAAAAATGCTCAAGACAGAAGCCAACATTTTTAACCTAACATTGGCAGTGACATTTCATCACCTCTACAGCATTCTATTCATTGGAGGCTAGTGACTAAATCCAGTCCACACCCTAGGGGAGGGAGTTTCACTCTCCCAGAGTTCATTGGGAGTCATTTTAGAGGCTGCCTACCACACTGGTCTACTTTTTTTTTTTTTTTTTTTTTTTAGATGGAGTCTTGCTCTGTCACCCAGGCTGGAGTGCAGTGGCGCGATCTCGGCTCACTGCAACTTCTGCTTCCTGGGTTCAAGTGATTCTCGTGCCTCAGCCTCCCCAGTAGCTGGGATTACAGGCATGTGCCACCATGCCTGGCTAATTTTTGTATTTTTCGTAGCGACAGGATTTCATCATGTTGGCCAGGCTGGTCTCGAACTCCTGGCCACAAGTGATCGCCCACCTTGGCTTCTCAAAGTGTTGGGATTACAAGCGTGAGCCACCGCATCTGGCCACTGGCCTACTTTTTATTCTTCAACACCTCCCCAACCCCCAAATTATTTCTGCGCTTTAGAGCCTTTGCATGTAATATTTTCCCTACCTGCTACAGTCTCCTCCACTTCATTCAGGTTTCAGCTTAAATGTAACCTTCTGAGGGGCATATTCCCTGGTTATCCGATTTAAAATAGTACACACTTCTTCCCAACAATTTTCATCACCTTATCCTGCTATATTTTTCTTTATGACAGTTACCATTATCTACAATTAAATATTTCTTTGTTGACACAGCTGTGCAAATTGCATGACAGCAGCAATCTTATCTGTTTTGTTCACTGTTTATACAATTACATAGTAGTAGCTGACACATATTAAACACTTATCAAAATCAAGTTATTAAATGAGTAAGTGAGCAGCATTCCAGAACACCCCAAAGTTATATTTCTTAGCAAAAATAACTATATCTTATACATCTGTCTCTTCTGAGTTTGCTTAGTCTGAGTCTATGTCCAAGAGAGTGATGTGATCACCTTTGGCTAAAGTGTAATATTAAGTTTCTAGGGTTATAGATCTGAAAACCAATCCTGGACCAAACTACCTCACTGAGATAATGCCAACTTAGAGGTCTGCCTAAGAGGTCTGCCAGCCATGCTCCTGAGATGGCACTTCTATATCATCAATTACCTCTCCATGTACTTCCTCCACAAATATTTACTAAGGGTCCACCTGTGTCAGGCTCTATGCCAGCAAATAATTCATTTGCGAAAAAGACAATCTTTGCTTTCAAGAATGTTACAGTCTAGGAAATAATCTTATATTAATTAAGGTATAATTCAGAATATAAATAGATTTCAAAGAGATGAACCAATAAAGACAAGATTAAATATAGCTCTTAAATTTGGATCAAATTCACTAAAATTTATTATAAAATTTGACATTTTACAGGTGAAGTTAGGAATATGTTGTTATAAATACTGCTACTAATAGCCACACTTACTGAGTATTCTCTGTTAGTCACTGTGCTGGGAGCACAGGTGTAAAATCCAAATCAACCAGAGTTCTTGGTTCCAGCAACCGAAGCTAACTCCAGCTGACTACACTGTAGAAGAGCTTAATCAATGCTCGTAGACTTGCTTGGGCAGCCTGGAGAAACAGGCTTTTGGCTGAATTTCCAGGAGTAATGCCACAGAACTGGGCCAATGAGGAAACTACCATCACTGTCACCAAGCACTAGATGGTACACCTTGCACTGATGCCACTTCTGCACCAAGAACCAGTTTTAATGCAGTTAATGCTGCCCACACTGATGTTACTTCTGTACCAAGAACGCAACTGGTCGCCACTGCTGCAACCACCCCTGCTGCCTTTAGAGAGTGCTCCCAGATCCTTCCCTCCTATGCCATTAGTTCCTGCATCATAATTTGGTTTTATTACAGCTGAATGATGAAGCCCAAGGTTACATGGATCTGTCCTCATTGCAAGGAAAATAAAGTACCCAAGAAAATAAGTATTAAGCACTTTCAACATCTACAAAGTAGAAGGATCTTTGTCCCATCCATTACCCATAAATGGGGAATTCTATAACACAGAAAGAGTTTAGATGCTGAGAAGCCTAAAGAAATGGTACTATCTTTTTCAGTCTCCACAACAACTCTGGACACAGGAATTATCTTCCAAAAATCAAAATTTAGGAAATTCCTTACCCAAGAGTGGCAGTGTTAGTACTCAAACTCAGCCATGTTTGTCTCCAAAGCCATATTCTTGACTAGAATTTTATACTCCTACTTCTCTAGAGGAGTAGTTGTTTCCTGGAAATATTTTTTTTTTTAAATGAGACTAGTTTTCTTTACATAAATAGAATATTCCATTGGCAATTCTAAATGAAATCATCTCTAAAGCCTGATACTTATTAGCAATAAAAATTCTCAAACATACGTTATCTTCTTGTATGTGATGATAATGTTACTGGCAAAAAAAACACAGTACATATTTCTTTGCAATTAATTTCTAGTAGTGGTGACAAGATTTGAACTGGATTGTATACACAGAATTACCCAGACTTGTTGTGGCAAAAGGCGTTTGCAAAACAAATAATGGGCCGGGCATGGTGGCTCATGCTGTAATCCCAGCACTTTGGAAGGCCAAGGTGGGCAGATAACCTGAGGTCTGGATTTCTAGACCAGCCTAGCCAACATGGCAAAACCCCGTCTCTACTAAAAACACAAAAATTAGCCACGCATGGTGGCGTGTGCCTGTAATCCCAGCTACTTGGGAGGCTGAGGCAGGAGAATCGCTTGAACCTGGGAGGTGGAGGTTGCAGTGAGCCAAGACCATGCCACAGCACTCCAGTCCGGGTAACAGAGGGAGACTCTGTCTCAGAAAAACAAAAACAAAAACAAATAATAATGTTACCCTAACTGCCATGATTACAATGTAACCATGATTTGTGACCAAGGAGCATCTCTAAATTTAACTGACCCACATTGCAACTGAGCATACAGCTTAACATTATCCTTTAAGTAACTGAGTTTACCAGCTGATGCCATCTAAGAACAGAATCCTCTGGTAGCCATTTGTGCACTCAAGCACTTTTTGAAGTGCTCTTCATCTCCTTTGTGTACCAGGCACTAGGTTGCATTAGGGATTCAGAGGCAAATAACCTATAGAAGAACTTAAGTCCAGGAAGGGGAGAGGTCAGCCTGGATAGTCTCCGTGCCTGAGCCCGGGCCTCTTCATATCTTGCCCAATCTAGTAGTTCATACACTTCTTTCCTGGACTACTGCTGACCTTTCTTCAAAGAGCAGTCACATGAATAAACTTTTAAAGATTTAAGTAGAGGCCGGGCGTGGTGGCTCCCGCCTGTAATTCCAGCACTTTGGGAGGCCGAGGCGGGTGGATCATGAGGTCGGGAGATCGAGACCATCCCGGCTAACATGGTGAAACCCCGTCTCTACTAAAAATACAAAAAAAAATTAGCCGGGCGTGGTGGCGGGCGCTTGTAGTCCCAGATACCTGGGAGGCTGAGGAAGGAGAATGGCGTGAACCCGGGAGGCGGAGCTTGCAGTGAGCCGAGATCGCGCCACTGCACTCCAGCCTGGGTGACAGAGCGAGACTCCATCTCAAAAAAAAAAAAAAAAAAAAAAAAAGATTTAAGTAGTATTATGTCCCCCCTCCCCGCCCGCTCCAGATCCTCCGGCAGCTTCCCATTGCCCTTTGAACAACATCTAAACTCATTACCATGGCCTATAAGGACCTAGGTGGTCTGACGCCTGCCTACTTCTCCAGACTCCACAAATGCTCTTCTATCACTTTGGTGCCAGGTACACCGGTCTACTTTCTGATCCTTGAAAGCACAAAACATAGGGTTGCACTTGCCATTCTCTCTGCCCAAAATGTTCTTGCCTCTTTCTTGTCGTTCAGGTCTCTGTTCATATGCTGCCTCTTCCAAGAGGCCTTCCTTGGGTAGCTACTACCCTGCCCCACTGACAGCTCTGTTTCCAACAACCCTGGTTCTGTTTCCTTTACAAAACCTACTACTGTCTGAAATTATCTATGTGTTCTCACACCTGTAATCCCAGCACTTTGGGAGGCCAAAGCTGGTGGATCACTTGAAGTCAGGAGTGTGAGACCAGCCTGGCCAACATAGTGAAACCCCATCTCCATCAAAAAATACAAAAATTTGCCAGACATGGTGGCAGGTGCCTATAATTCCAGTTACTCTGGAGGCTGAGGCAGGAGAATCGCTTGAACCCAGAAGGTGGAGGTTGCACTGAGCTGAGACCATGCCACTGCACTCCAGCCTGGGCGACAGAGTGAGACCCTATTGAGAGAGAGAGAGAGAGAGACAGAGAGAGAGAGAGAGACAGAGAGAGAGAGAGAGAGAAATTATCTATGTGTTAATTCATTTACTTATTTATTTAGTTTTAGTCAACCAGAATATAAGTTTTGTGACAGCAGGACCTTAATTGTCTTATTCATAGGTATTTCCTCAGTGCCTAGAAAGGTGCCTGATTTATCGCCGGCACTCAAAAAACAAAACAAAACAAAACAAAACCCTACCTTTTTGAATAGATGAAGCACGAACTGCAGTAATCTCTTATCTTCTTTCCCTGCCTTCAGTCGTGTTTGCTCTGATCACCCACCACTCTCTGCCAGAGTGTATCCAAAGAATAAAATCAATCATATTGCTTTCCCTAGATATGACTTATAATAACTTACATAATGAGGTAAGAACTACTGAACATGACATATAGGCTCTGGATATAGATAGCTGTATATGCCTTGATATTATCTTATTTATTCATATGTGTATGTTTGTGTGTGCACTACAGTACTTAGTCTTTTCAAGATGCTAGAACAAAATACATTGGATGGGGCACTGATACACAACAGAAATTTATTGCTCACAGTTCTAGAGGCTGGGATGCTCAAGACTGAGGTGTAGAGCAGATCTGGTGTATGGTGAGGGGTCATTCCTCATGGATGGTGCCTTCTATGTGTCTTCACATGGTAGAAGGGGAGAATAGGCTCCCTCGGGACTCTTTTAGGAACATTAATTCCATTAGTGAGGGCTCCACCCTCATCTCATGTGTTAATTACCTCCAAAGGGGCCCCCTCTTAATACTATCAAATTGGGGACTAGGTTTCAACATGTAAATTTGGGGAGTCAAAGACATTGAGACCATAGTACTTTGTTTAATTTATTTACTTTCATATCTAATTACTTTCAACACTAATTCTAGTAAGTACCTCTATGAAAGACATTTTCTCAGGTTCATCTTTGTATCTAGAGAACCTGATGTAACACCTGATACACATGAATTTATAGATGGGATTCATTCATTTTAATATTCAAGAAATATTTATTAAGTTCCAGGCTCTACTATGTACTAAGCATTATATTCCAGTCACTGGAGATATACCAGCAAACCAAAGTCCCTGTCCTCTGGAAGTTTACATTCCACTAAGGTAAACTGACTATAAAACAATAAACAACTAATTATACAAGAAAATGTTGGATAGTGAAAAGTCCCTTGAATCAAAATGAAGAAGTACAATTTTCTAAGGGAACTTCCCTCTACAAAACAATTAGATCCTGCATAAAAAATAGACCTCTTGGGTTTATAGGGTATGACAGATATGAGAGACACCAAATAAGATTGGCTGCTACAGAAGGAAAGCTAGATACCCTGAAAGCACCTGCCACTATCAGCACTGCAAGGGAGTAGCCGTGGAATAGCAGCAAGGTAGGGGCAGTGAGCTGAGACTCTCAGGCCAAACTGAGACCCTGAAAGGGAACATGAACGGTATCGGGTCAAGTAACTCCCCTGGATCCCAAGTAGAACATTGCAGATCCTCTCTGAGGGAGATCCTCAATGCATGCTCTCAAGTATTAACTCACAATAAGGTTCATCAAACCCAAAATAAACACAACACCATGAGTAAGAGTCATCAGAAACCACACATACATTGGACCTAATATAATAACTACATAATATAAGATAATATATATAATATAATATTATAATATTATATTATATTATTGTAATATAATTATTAATATATATTATATTTAATATATTATATATTTTATAATATAATATAATATATTATATATTTTATAATATATTATATTATATATTTTATAATATAATATAATATATTATATATTTTATAATATAATGATATATTATTATTTTATAATATAATATAACAATATATTATATATTTTATAATATAATATAATAATATATATTTTATAATATAATATAATAATATATATTTTATAATATAATATAATAATATACTATATATTTTATGATATAATATAATATAATAATATATTATATATTTTATGATATAATATAATATAATATATTATATATTTTATGATATAATATATTATATATTTTGATATAATATAATATATTATATATTTTGATATAATATAATATATTATATATTTTATGATATAATATATTATATATTTTATGATATAATATAATATATTATATATTTTATGATATAATATATTATATATTATAAATTATATAATATATTATATATTATATAATATATAATATATTATATAATTTAAAATATAATATAAAATATATTATATAATATATAATATATTATATATTATATAATATAATATAATAATATATTATATTTTATAATATAATATAAAATATATTATTATTTTATAATATAATATATAATATATTATAATAAATATAATTAATATAATTAATATTATTAATATTATATATATATAATATATATATATAATATAATAACATAATATATATAATATAATATATATAATATATATATATAATATAATAACATAATATATATAATATAATAACATAAGAACTACATATATTGAATATCAGACACGGAATTTAAAAGCCATATATAAAATATTTGAAAAAATTAGAAAGGGGTCACAAAATTGAGCAAGAACTAAATCTCCAAAAGTGATCTGAAAAAGAACCAGACATGAAACATAAAATTGTATAATAAAAAACTCAACAGATGGGCTAAATAGAAGGCTATACATAGCACAAAAGAAAACTAACAAAAGCCATATCTGAAAAATGCAGCATGGCAGATAGAAAAAAAAGTAAAGAGATGGTAAAAGATATGCAACAAAAGGAGGTATCCACTTGACGTTCCGTAAGAATAAAGAGAATGAAAACAACTAATGAAATAAAATTTAAAAAAAATTTTTATTTTTTTTGAGACAGAGTCTTGCTGTGTCGCCCAGGTTGGAGTGCAGTGGCGCAATCTCGGCTCACTGCAAGCTGCGCCTCCCGGGTTCACGCCATTCTCCTGCCTCAGCCTCCTGAGTAGCTGCTACAGGTGCCAACCACCACGCCTGGCTAATTTTTTGTATTTTTAGTAGAGACAGGGTTTCACCGTGTTAGCCAGGATGGTCCCGACCTCCTGACCTTGTGATCTGCCTGCCTCGGCCTCCCAAAGTGCTGGGATTACAGGCGTCAGCCACCGTGCCCGGCCAATAAAAAATTTTTAAAGACATAATGGCTGCATTTTTTTTTTCAGAAAAGAAAAGATATCATTGCAAAGGTACAATGTAAACTAAACATGATAAATTGAAAATTTGTGTGTAATGAAACTGCAGAACATCAAAGACAAAGAGAAGATCTTAAAAGCACTCAGAGGGAAAACATAACCTATGAAAAATGACAAACTGACAACAGACATCTCAACAATAAAACTAAAGCCATAATAAACATTTTTTTAAATGTTGAGAGAAATTAACTACTAATTTAGAAATGTGCTCCCAGAAAAACTATCATTCAAGAATGAGGATGAAATAAAGACAATGATAATAAAAACTGGGGATGAGTGTTCTACACCACTGGAATTTTTAAAGGATGTTCTTTAAAAAGAAGAAAGTGATTCTAGAAAGAAATTCTGAGATGTAAGAAAGAATGAGAAACAAACAAATTGGTAAATATATAGTATTTACCAGTATATATTTATATACTGGTATATATTTTATAGACCATGTCTGTTTAGATTTACCAGTATATATTTATAGTGGTAAATATAAACCAGCATATATTTATACTGGTAAATCTAAACAAATATTGTCTATAAAAATATTATTAATTAATTTGTAAATTTTTAAAAAATAGACAAAATGAACAAAAAAATGAATGGACATCAGGAGGGAGGTGATCAGAGTTCTAAAGTTCTCATATTTCTCCAAATATCAACATTTTACAGACTCATAGTACAATGATTAAAACTAGGAAATTAATATTGATACAGTCTTATTAAATTAATGTACAGACTTTGTTCAATTTTACCAATTGTCCCACTAATGTCCTCTTTTTAGTCCAGGATCACACACTGCATGGGTGGGTACATTAGTCAGCTTGGACTGCCATAACAGAATACCATGGATTGAGTGGTTTAAACAACAGAAATTTGTTTTCTCATAGTTCCAGAATTTGAAAGTCTAAGATCAAGGTTCCAGCACACTTGGTTTCTGATGAGGCTTCTCCCCTCCTGGCTTGCAGACAGCTACCTTCCTGCTGTGTCCTCACATGGACTTTACTCTCCGTGCATGTAGGAGAGAGAGAGAGAATCTGTAATGTCTCTTTCTCTTATAAGGACACCAGTCCTATCAGATTAAGGTTCCACCCTGATGACCTCATTTAACCTTAATTATCTCCTTAAAGGCTGTATCTCCAAATACAGTCACACTGAGGACTAGGGCTTCAATATATGAAAGGCGGAGGGGAACAATTCTGTTCATAACAATGGGCTTGTGACTACTTCAGCCAATACAGTTGAAGTAATGCTACATAACAAGGGGAAGGGACAGAGACCCTATCTCTCAATGGGAAATGTCAGAGTTTACAGCCTTATTTTAAACTATCCCAAAGAATAAGGATCCGATAATAGCTAAGATATTTCTGAAAAAAGAACAACTAGGGAAATCTGTACTTCCAGATATCAAGATGATGACGATGATGATGATGATTAGAAACAGAGTCTCACTCTGTCACCAAGGCTGGAGTGCAGCAGTGTGATTATAGCTCACGGCAACCTTGAACTCCTGGGTTTAAGAGATCTTTCCACCTCAGCCTCCCAAGTAGCTAGGACTATAGACATGTGCCACCACACTTGGCTAATTTTTCAAAAAAAGATTTTTTAGAGATGGGATCTCACTGTGTTGCCCAGGCTGGTTTCAAACTCCTGGCCTCAAGCAATTCTCCCACCTTGGCCTCCCAGGGTGCTGGGATTTCAGGTGTGAGCCACCTTGTCCCCCACCCCGACCCCACCCCGATATCAAGATTATTATAAAGCCATATAATTAAGACAATGTGATATTAGGATAGGGATAGACAACCAATGAAATAAAATAAAAAACCTAGGTGTAGGTACACATGCATATGTTGTTTTGTTTTGTTTTGTTTTGTATTTTTAGTAGAGATGGGGTTTTGCCACATTGGCCAGGCTGGTCTTGAACTCCTGACCTCAGGTGATCCAGCCATCTCAGGCCTCCCAAAGTGCTGGAATTACAGGTGTGAGCTACCATTCCTGGCCCACATGCATATGTTTTTAACATAACACAGGGGTAGTATTATAATTCAGTGGGAGAATAAGATATCCAATAAGTAATGCTCAGACAATCTAAATGGAGAAAAATCTTACTGGATCATATTACACACATAAGTCAATTACAGATTAAAAACTTATGGGTTCAGACAACATTTTAGAGAATTCAAGGCATCTGGGGAAAAGCATTCTAATGGCAACTCAGTCCCTGTCTCTTCATCCGAGGCCCATCTGCATTCCTCTTCTTAGATTTCCATGAGTCATCCCTATATTCTTATAAAAAACACCACCACCACCACCTGTTTTGTTTTTCCTTCAGCTTGCTGTGCATGGTTTCTGCCACTTACTCAAGGTGTTTAAATTAAGCTGGCAGAAAGGAGAAGCCAAACATTTATCCAGCACTTATTTCATGCCCTGCATGATCTAAGTGCCTTAACTGAAGTAACTCATTTAATTCTCACAAACAGGCCAATGAGATAGTCACAGATTGTCCTCATTTTACATATGGACAGAGGCACAAAGAGGTTAAGGAACTTGCCCAAGATCACAGGGTTGATCAGTAGTAGAGCCGGGATTTTAATCTGGACATTCTGGCTCCAGATCCTAACAAAGTCACTGGAATTTGAACTTGGGTTGTCTAACTCCAAAGACCATATTCTTAACCTCTCTGTTGTGCTGCAAAGACCAGAGTATCACAGCAGCTTCTTGCGTTATTGTTTTATTTGTGGCCAGGTCAATCCCAGCTCCTGGAGTACGGCAGAGCCTTACAAAGAGCAGCCCTCTTCTGGCACAGACTTGGCAAAGGCCCGTTTTGGAAACAGACTGTGGTACCAGAAAACCCACAGGTACTTCCAATTCTGGGACCAGACCCCTCCTATGCTGTGTACACATTTTGGCTCATAAGTTGCCACACCAAACCCAGAAGGGAGATCATTCCCGCCCTCTTCCTCTACCCCAAACACCCACAGGAGAATTCACTGCAGAGGACAGGGAGCAGAATTCCTTTCCTGTCTGCATTTAGTCTCCCCTAATGCCAGAAGGAAACATGACTTACTGTGTCTGGAAGTCACAATTAAGTGCCCTGAGGTGCATCTGGCTCAAGGAAAACAGTATTTGTTGAATTCTTAAGTCCAGGACTCTGGTAGATGTGGCAAACAAACTTTTATACCGTTTGGATTTTGTAGGTCCTATAAAAATAATGCTTTCTTTCCATCTGTCACCTTCAGAAGCCTGTTTTTTAAGGAGCCAACACACAGGCTTCCCTTGTGCTCCTGTACCCTGCAGTCTGTGTGGGCCCTTGGCAATGAGAAGCTGTCACTGACAGAGCTACCTGAAGCCCGCTCAGAAACTGACACTTGCCCATCCTGTGTCTGAGAATTCTTTTTAAATTTTTGAAAATTATACTTTGCTCAAGCAAACTACAGAGAAGGAAGACATTTTCTACCTAGACTGCTAGTTCTGGTTTGAGGAAACACAGCTTAGACGCTCATCATTTTCTATCCAAATCATAGGGTTTCATGTTGAAGCAATATGCAGCCATCTACCGGAAATGGCTGAGAAGCTCCACCCAACTGGGAGAATGTTACCTAGGTCAGTTGTATTAGTCTGTTTTCATGCTGCTGATAAGGACATACCCGAGACTGGGTAATTTATAAACAAAAAGAGGTTTCATGAACTTGCAGTTCCACGTGGCTGGGGAGGCCTCACAATCATGGCGCAAGTTGAAAGGCATGTCTTACATGGCAGCAGGCAAGAGAAAAAATGAGAACCAAGTGAAAGGGGTTGTCCCTTATAAAACCATCAGATCTCGTAGGACTTATGCACCATCAGGAGAACAGCACGGGAAAGATCCACCGCCAAGATTCAATGACCTGCCATCAGGTCTCCTCACACAACACATGGGAATTGTGGGAGCTACAATTCAAGATGAGATTTGGGTGGGGACACAGACAAACCATATAATCAGTAGAACACCTGGGAGGAGAGTTGAGGATGCAGGGGCAAGAAGCAGTGGAAGTAGCAGCAGTCTGCAATTCTGAGAGAAGAGATTATGGATAAGTGGGGAGCAGCTAGGTGAGGTGGCTCATGATTATAGTCCCAGCACTTTGGGAGGCTGGGGAAGGAGGACTGCTTGAGCCCAGGAGTTTGAGACCAGCTTGGGCAACATAGCAAGACCCTGTCTCTACAAAAAAATCCAAAACTTAGCTGGGCATGGTGGCACGCACCTATAGTCCCTGCTACTTGGAAGGCTGAGGTGGGAGGATTGCTTGAGCCTGGGAGGTCAAGGCTGCAGTGAGCCATGATTGTGCCGCTGCACTTTAGCTCGGGTGCCAGAGTGAGACCCTGTCTCAAAAAACAAAAACAAACAAAACAAAACAAAAAAAGGTTGGGGGAGGGGAGGAACAGAAAAACATGGAAAAGAAAGAGAAAGAAGATAAAAAGCTTTGCAGTACCAACAAAGGTCAAGGAGTGATGTAAATGACTAGATGTTAAGCTCTCTGAGGGGAATTTTGGAAAACCCCCAAAATAGACATAATAAGGACCCAGTAAGAGAAAATACCCAGTTCACTTAGGTGAGCAACAAAGGCAAGGAGGGGCATGAAAGAAATGGATTTCAAATATGACCCATCAAGACTAAAAGGAAAGAAGGCACAGGCAGTTAAAGAAATATCAGAAATCTGTTATTAGTTGAACAGGAATGCAAATGTTTTGTGAATTCAGTTATAACTTTATCCATAGCATGTACATTAAATATTAATTTCTTGTTGAGTAATCTTCTCCCTACTCCACAGTAGTTCAAAATAGGTACCTTTAGGGAAAAATTATTTGATAGAAATAAAACCAAAATCAGAGTGAATCATACCATCTATTTAGTTGCTTGAACCAATGCTAGGAAAAGGACAGATCCAAGAACTTTGGGAGGCCGGGCTGGAGGATCGCTTGAGCCCAGGAGTTTCAGACCAGCCTGGGTAACATAGTGAGACTCTATCTCTAAAAAAATTTAAAAATTAGCTGGGCATTGTGGCAAGCACTTGTAGTTCCAGCTACTTCAGAGGTTGAGGCAGGAGGATCTCATGAGCTGGGAAGATTGAGGCTGCAGTTAACCATGATCACACCACTGCACTCCAGTCTGGGCCACAGAGCGAAACCCTGTCAGAAAAAAAAAAAAAAGATTGACAGTTGGGCTTGCTTGTCTGGTGGGAGGGGAAGGAAGAGGGCAGGAGGCATCAGAAAGTGAAGTAGCAGGCTGGGCGCAGTGGCTCATGCCTGTAATCCTAGCACTTTGGGAGGCCGAGGCGGGTGGATCACGAAGTCAAGAGATCAAGACCATCCTGGCCAAGATGGTGAAACCCCGTCTCTATTAAAAATACAAAAATTAGCTGGGTGTGGTGGCACATGCCTGTAGTCCCAGCTGCTCAGAAGGCTGAGGCAGGAGAATTGTCTGAACCCAGGAGGCGGAGGTTGTGGTGAGCAGAGATCGTGCCATTGTACTCCAGCCTGGGCAACAGAGCAAGACTCTGTCTCAAAAAAAAAAAAAAAAAAAAAAGAAAGAAAGAAAAGTGAAGCAGCAGGTGCTGAACTTCTGCTTCCAGAGTGCATTCTCCTAAAGTGATTTACTTTCACCAGTTTTTCAGGTTGCAGAGTAACTGTTTTTTGGGCTGTGATGAAAAATGTTGGAGGAAGCAGTGACAAAGTCAAGGGAAAAAAAATCCATGAGATGAGCCATCTTTACTGTGCTCACCACTCCCCATCCCCAAGTATCTGTGCAAGCCCTGTTCCCTACATGATGGACCCTTATTAAGTCTGCTCACTAATGGGTAAAAAGGGAAAGTTTATATTAAAGATCCGACACCCCAAAAGAAATGGTTCAACTGGCATTTTTTAAAAAGCTAAAGTATCAAACCCATCCAAAAATTGAATACTACTTCAAAGCCATTGTTTAATTGCATTTAGTTAGTAAAAGGATAGAAACCCAGCCTGGGCAGATGGACCTTTGTCTACAAAGGGAAGCCCTTGGTATCACTGAATTCAATACCCAGGTAATAAAATTTCCACTTAGTAAATATGTTTTTGTATATAGGAAGCAGTTCTAATTCTTTTTGGGGAATATAGATCATTGATGAAATTCAGAGACCATTATTTCTTCTCCGTATTTACAGGATTCAGATTCCCCCATCTGGTAAATCATCCAATACAGTTCTCTATAATCCTCAGAGGATGAAAAATGCAAAGCTTTCAGAACAGGTAAAATTGCTCTAATTGCTCTTTGTTGCCACGAAAGGACATTATGTATTCAGGTCCAAATGCTGAATTCATTAATACAATGCTTTTCTTTTTCACTAGGAATAAGACAAATGACCTAAATCATTATTTACTTCCTTTCCAGCTAAGGGTCCTTGTTGTGCTGATCAGCTAAATGAGCTGTGGAATATCTCCTTGGAAAGAGTGTGTGGCAGAAGTGCAAGTGGTTAAATGCCCACAGATGCTTAGCTCTAAAAGCCCACAGCTGATTGCATAGTCACTGTTTGCAATTTACTGCCAGCATCTGTTGTCATTCCACACAATGTTAATGGGCTACCCTCGGGAGCTAGAGTTGACGATCTCCCAATAACTCACTTCTAAAATCACCTAAGCAAGTGAAGTAATTTTTGTTTGCCAGCATGAATTATGCCACTGGTGAAAATCACGAATCCATGTTGTTAAACTAATGTGGTTTTCCTCTAACCTCCGCCTCACTCAAATTAGCATCAGGGATATTAGAGCAGGCTGCAGTCAAGAGCCAGATACAACCAACAGCTTTGGCTAGAATAAAAGACAACAGGCAATCATCTCAGCGGAGAACTGCCGAAGTAAGCACCAGCCACCCAAAGGGCCCATTAGCATGCAAAAAAAAAAAAAAAAAAAAAAAAAGCCTTCTGAAATCCACTTCTTTCATGCTTCCCCTTACCCTTGTTGGCTCACCTAAGTAAACTCTTATTGCGCCTGGACACTCCCATCCCATAGCGTAACCTTTGCTTCCTTCCTTCTTCTCACCCAATACTGAGGAGGCTTTCTATTTCCCCTTCTTATCTGACAGGAGCTGTCACTAAACACACACACACACACACACACACACACACACACACACACACACACACACTTTCCTGGGGTTAGAATAGCAAAGGGGCTGCAGGGAAGACAACCAGATTACCAAAAAAAGGGAGAGCACATCAGCATTAGGAGATATTTCTTAAATCTCTGTTGCACTGAAAAGTGCTTCTCCTCTGGATGACTGTTCTGTGCCAAAATACCAAAGAGATGGGCTTCTGGGTTTCAGATGAAACTTGATTTCTACGGTTAGATTGAAGGTGAGGGCGGATGTGGCTCAGAGGCAATGTCAGGAAAGAGGAAGCATAGTACACACCTCCTCTTTCCTCAAGTTGGTGTTGGAATCTGTCCCACTTTGAACTCAAGTGGAATTCAGACATGTCAGGCCTTTCCCGGTGAGCAGCAGGGGCAGGCCTTCAAGAAGTCTATTTGCAAGAGTAAAGGAGGAGCCCTCTGGAGAGAATCTTGCCAGAGAAAAGGGAATATATGTCAAAGTGGCAGGAGGGGAGGGGCAATTCTGAGTACTATATGATGTCCTCAACTTGGGTTTGCCATTAGATCAGGCCCTGAAGACTCGCATTTCAGCACAGGGCATGGAATGGAAGGTAGAGATAAACTCAAAAATGAAGAGTTCTTTCACAAAACCTCAGCAAGGCGGCAGCACTGGATGGGTAAGCTTCTAAAAGGAGAAGAGACAATCTGCACACAACATTGGCATATCCAGGGCTCTACTGTATTGGAAGCATCAAGTAGTTAGAAGAGTCCAGCAGGCACAGCCAGGAGAAGTGGCAGGATCATCTTGCTGGTTGGTTTTACACATCCCCCTCCTTCTCCAGGTAAAACCAATCAGCAAGGGGAGAAGGGTTGGGGTGAGAGGAGAGGAAACAAAATGACTGTCACTGTAAGGTAACTGACTAGCCTTGTTTGGGGACACATGGGAGAGACACCCTGCGGACCTTTAGAAATACCTGGGTTTGGAAGGGTCCTTGCAGAATCCTGAGATCCTGTAGTAGGTGGGAGTGAGAGCCAGTGAAACCAGGTGATTTCTTGCATTCTTCTCCTTAGTATAGTTTTACTCATGGAGGGTATGACCAAGCAAACAGACCTCTTAACTGTTTCTCTTTTAAAGGACAGAAGGAGGTCTGCCCCACCAAGGGCTGGTTCCCTGAATTCTTTGGAACAGCTGTAGCAAAACTGGAATGTGCTACAGCTCTTTGGAGGCTGCAGACCCACTGAAAACGTCACTGAAGATATTGCCGGGGCCACTGATGACTTTATAACTTCACCAAAGGAATTAACCTCTAGTTATTAGTAAGGAGGTATTGTTGAAAATTGTTTGAATGTTTAATTTCTGTAGTTCTTTGTGTTTAATCCTATATATTTTTATTCCTTTGAGACTTGATTCATCTTTGGTGTTCAGCAAAGGAGTCTTTAAAGAACTCATATATGGATCAATTTTTCCATGCTTGTCTTCTCATAGCATTTTGTGAATACTTAATCTTCAATCTTATTTCCTATTGAAATAATTGGTTTATATTTCTATCATCTCCCTCGGTGAAGCTATAAGTTCCTCAAGGCCTGAGGTCATGTCAGACATTTAAATTATTTGTACTGAACTCTTGATAGTCTTCATTACTGTGAAAGTAAGCAAGTCCTTTCTTTCTTTCTTTTTTTTTTCTTGGCTCACTGCAGCCTTGACTTCCTGGACTCAAGTGATCCTCCTGCCTCAATCTCCCAAGTAGCTGGGACTACAGGCACATGCCACCACGCCTGACTAATTTTTGTATTTTTAGTGGAGAGAGGGTTTCACCATATTCCGCAGGCTTGTCTTGAACTCCTAGATTCAAGCGATACCCCCCCTTGGCCTCCCAAAGTGCTAAAATTATAAGTGTGAGCCATCATGCCCAGCCATTATTGTAAGAATAAGCTCTTATCACTGGCACCCCCAAAAAAATCTCAGATCAAATTTTCTGTGAATATCTTACTATGGCTAATACTGGTAGTTATTGCCCAATATTCCTATATTCCCCTTTTTCATGAGTAATAAAAATTTTAGGTGGACATATGGCAACCCTGCAAGTACTACATGTCATAGTTGAGGCTGCTATAACAGAATACCATGAACTGGGCATCTTATAAACAACAGAAATGTATTTCTTACAGTTCTAGAGGCTGGGAGTCTGAGATCAGGGTGCCAGCATGGTCAAGTTTGGGTGAGGACCCACTTCCAGGTTGCAGACTCCCAACTTCTCATTGTATCCTCACATGGCAGGAAGAGGGTGGAAAGCTCTCTCATGTCTCTTCCTGTAGAGGCACTAATCCCATTCATAGAGGCTCCACCCTTATGACCTAATCACCCCCTCAAAGGCCATACTTCCTAATGCCATCACATGGAGGATAAGGATTTCAGCACATACATTTGAGGGAGGACACAAACATTTAGCCCATAATACCACATTTTGCAAGCCCCTTTGCAGCTAGTTATAGTATTGTGATGAAGTGTTGGCCACTGGGATGTCAGCCAAGTATTGAGTGCAACTTTTCATTTGTGACAGGAAAGGGAAGGAGATTACCTTCTTTCCTCCAAATCCTATATCTTGCTACTTGGATCAGGGATATGGGATGAACAATCTGTACCTTTAAGGACAAGGGACATACACTAGATATAGTAGAAAAACCAGCTAAAATGAGGCTGAGATCTGACACCATTGAATCATCATGACAGCCCTGGAATGCTCCCCCCGAACTATTACGTGAGGAAGAAATGAACTTCTATCCCATTCAAACCACTGAACATAAGAGGATGGCCACTTAGTCTTGTGTGTGGTATACAAAAAAAAGAAAAAAAAATCATTCCATGGAACCCACAACCAGTCTTCTTTCCTTAATTGTCATTCCTTGAAAATGCTCTGGACAAGGGATAATGGGAAGAAGTTTAATATCAAACAAAAAATAATCACAGTAAGTCAGTAGCTGGTATGTGAAATTGGCAGGCTCCTTGTATAAACTAGCAAATTTCTAATACGTTAAGCATTTTTGTTTGTTCATAATTGTGAAATAAAAGGAGAGACTTCCCTTTGGACATTCATTACTGTCACAGCCCACTCATCTACTATTTAGATATCCATTGGTCCAACTCCAAGAGGGCTGAAGGTGTATGTTCTATTTCCTTTCCATCTGATGCTCTTGGATCATTCAAGTATGGCTGCCTCACTGGCCCCAACCCACTTACTCTGAAACTCACAGATCCTATGCTGAACACTGATAAATTGTAATAAGAAATTAACTTTAGTTTCTTTCATGGTCACCTCCTTGTCTCTTCTCTCATTATTTTATCTTTCTCCCTCAACCTCTTCATCCTTTGTCTCCCATATTACAACTGCTTCCCATCGCCCACCCACCACCACTGTCTTACGATAGAAAGAGTTGCTCACGATATCCCTCAGAGGCTTTCGTATTCCCCACCAATTCTGAGACTCCTGCTCATCCACCAAGTCACATTCTATGTTCTGTGTGGTTCCACCAGAAGGTCCAATATAACCTGGCCATGGTGCCAGCCAAGTGGGCTGAGGGACAGAAGCTGTTGGACCCTGAAGGACCAGGGTGATCCTATTCTGAGGGAATAAGAAACTTGTAAAGATGGCCAGACACGGTGGCTCACGCCTGTAATCCTAGCACTTTGGGAGGCTGAGGCAGGCAGATCACTAGAGGTCAGGAGTTCAAGACCAGCCTGGCCAACATGGTGAAACCCTGTCTCTACTAAAAATACAAAAATTAGCTGGGCTTGGTAGCACATGCCTGTAATTCCAGCTACTCAGGAGGCTGAGGCATGAGAATCCTTTGAATCCGAGAGGCAGAAGTTGTAGTGAGCCGAGATCGCACCACTGCACTCCAGCCTGGGCAATAGAATGAGACTCTCTCAAAAAAAAAAAAAAAAAAAAAGAAAAAAGAAAAAAGGAAAAGAAAAAAAAGTTGTAAAGATGAAAAGTAAGTTTGATAGTCAAATGCCTAGTTCTAAGAGCAGAAGCAACACAGTGAATAGATGACAGAGCTCAAGATTCAGAAAAAGAATAAAACCTATTCAAATTGGAGTTGGAATTTGGATTCACATGTCTCAAACCATTACAGGTTGTTTGACAGAATGTTATATGCATATATATATATATATATATATATATATATATATACACACACACACACACACACACATATATATATATGTACATACATATATATATATATATATGTGTGTAATTTTTTGTACCTAAAATGGCATGCTATCATCATCAGTCTGAGCAAGGACCCTCTTTCACTTGATTTTTTTCTTCATTCTTGATCCACACCCTTATTCCCCTCTCCATCATAGGGGTCCATCCTAATGTATAAGACTTGGAAATGTCTACCCCCTTGGAAAAGGATATAGAATCCAGAATTCAAATTGGAGTTAGTCAAGCTCAAGTAAGCCTTGTATCTGGATTTGGTGGGAATTGAGGTTGACATCTGTCACCCAATTTCGGGTGGTTTGCTGAAATATGGTAAAATGTAACCTATATTGCATTGTATTTTGGTTTTGGATCTAAGGTGGAGAAAGCTGAGTTACTTATGGCATGCTACCATCATCAAAGTCTTTGCAAAGATCTTCTCTTGTTTTGTTCTAATTTGCTCCCTTATCTTTGATTTTCACTCCTATTCTTTTCTCTATCATAAGGACCTATTCCAGTGTATAAGCAATATACATTGTTGAATATGTTTATATCCTTGTAAAATATGTGGTATCATTTTGTGTATGTATTTGTAATTTGTAAATTCAAAATTTATGTTAAGTAATTATGGGAAAGGACTAAACAGAGAGGACCCAGAATTCCATGTGATTTAGATAGGACCCCACCCCTCTGGTCTCTACAGCTTCATTGTCAATGGTGCATATGTCAAAATGAAGAAAACATCCTGTGCTCCTGGAATAAGAAGTTCCCAAAACCCTGTAGGCTTCTGGAAACATTCCTGCCTCCTCGTCCACCACATGCAATCACCACAGTCTGCCTGGGCAGAGCAAATTTTACACATCTTGTAGGGCTTTTTCTTACCCACATACTTTGTAACATGGGGTTTGGAGGTACCTAAGAACCTTCATATGAAGAACTGCGAAGGGACTGAGATTTTACTGTTCTTTTTTTTTTTTTTTTTTTTATAGCCCAGAGGTCCTTTATTTATTTTTTTTTTTAACACCTATTATGCCATGAATTCACAGGGAATAGGTTCCAGCAGCTCAGGCTCCTTCCCATTGGTTCTCACAAAGTGTGCTTCTCTGGGTGGAGCAGGCTGGCGCTTTAGTTGAACCCAGGTACCTTTCTCTTTGGCTTCTTTCTTTTTCTGATCATTTTCCTTCACGCGTTTCAGGAAGCTATCTCAGCTCTTAGAGTGCTTAATGTGCTCAATACGCACATTAATTCTCTTGGCAAGAATCTTGCCCTTAACTTGTTTGTTTACAACAATGCCAACAGTATGCTGGGTAACATTGTAGACTCTTCCAGTTTTGCCATGGTAACACTTGTGGGGCATTCCTTTTTGAACAGTACCCATTCCCTTGATGTCTACAATATCACCTTTCTTATAGATTCGCATATATGTGGCCAAACAAACAACTCCATGTTTTCTAAAAGGCCTAGAGAACATATATGGGGTGCCTCTCCTCTTTCCCTTTGTGTTCGTCATTTTGGCGAATTACTGGAAGATGGCGGTTCCGGCCGAAAGGGTTTACTGTTCTTACAAGCTAAAAGCCTGACACAATTTCACAGATGCTCGCAGAAGAAATGAGACTCCTGTATCAGAGACAAAGAACAATTTATTACTCATAGAAACAGCAATTGCTAGAGTATCATTTTTCCTCGACCAGTTCCTTGAAACCCAATTTCTACAGAGCAACACAAAGAGGGTCAGGTGACTCCTGCATACAGGGGATGCATCATAGGAGAGGCACCCTAACTTAGGAGACACGATTTTTTTTTTTAAGTGACAAAGTCTTTCTCTGTCACCCAGGCTGCAGCAAGAGGCACAATCATAGCTCACCGCAGCCTTGAACTCCTGGGCTCAAGTGATTGTCCCACCTCAGCTTCCTGAGTAGTTGGGACTACAGGCACATGCCACCAAGCCCAACTAATTTCTTTTTCTTTTCCTTTTTTATTTCAATAGTTTTTTGGGGAAGAGGTGGAGTTTGGTTACATAAATAAGTTTTTTAGTGGTGATTTCTGAGATTTTGGTGCATCCATCACCCAAGCAGTGTTCACTGTACCCAATGTGTAGTTTTTTATTCCTCACCCTCTTCCCACCCTTTCCCCCTGAGTCACCAAAGTCCATTGTATCATTCTTATTCCTTTGTGTCCTCATAGCTTAACTCTTGCTTATGAATGAGAACATACAATGTTTGGTTTTCCTTTCCTGAGTTATTTCACTTAGTATAACAGTCTCCAAATCCATCCAGGTTGCTATGAATGCCATTATTTCATTCCTTTTTATGACTGAGTAGCATTCCATGGTGTATATATATATATACCATATTTTCTTTATCCACTCATTGACTGATGGGCATTTGGGCTGATTCCATGTTTTTGTAATTGTGAATTGTGCTGCTATAAACATACATCTGCAAGTATCTTTTTCATAAAATAACTTCTTTTCCTCTGGGTAGTGACCCAGTAGTGGCACTGCTGCATCAAGTGGTAGATTTACTTTTAGTTCTTTTTTTTGTTCTGAGATGGAGTCTCACTCTGTCCCCCAGGCTGGAGTGCAGTGGTGTGATCTCAGCTCACTGCAACCTCTGTCTCCTGGGTTCAAGCAATTCTCCTGCCTCGGCCTCCTGAGTAGCTCGGATTACAGGTGTGTGCCACCATGCCTGGCTAATTTTTGTATTTTTAGTAGAAATGGGGTTTCCCCATCTTGGCCAGGCTGGTCCTGAACTCCTGACCTTGTGATCTGCCTGCCCCAAGCCTCCCAAAGTGCTGGGATTACAGGTGTGAGCCACCACGCCTGGCCTACTTTTAGTTCTTTAAGGAATCTCACACTGTTTTCCATAGTGGTTGTACTAGTTTACATTCCCACCAGCAATGTAAAAGTGTTCCCTTTTCACCACATCCATGCCAACATCTATTATTTTTTGATTTTTTGATTATGGCCATTCTTGCAGGAGTGGGGTGGTATTGCATTGTGGTTTTGATTTGCATTTCCCTGATCATTAGTGATGTTGAGCATTTTTTTACATGTTTGTTGGCCATTTGTATATCTTCTTTTGAGAATTGTCTATTCATGTCCTTAGCCCACTTTTTGATGGGTTTGTTTTTCTCTTGTTGATTTGTTTGAGTTCCTTGTAGATTCTGGATATTAGTCATTTGTCGGATGTACAGATTGCAAAGATATTCTCACACTCTGTGGGTTCTCTGTTTACTCTACTGATTGTTTCTTTTGCTGTGCAGAAGCTTTTTAGTTTAATTAAGTTTCATCTATTTATCTTTGTTTTTGTCACATTTGCTTTTGGGTTCTTGGTTATGAAGTCTTTGCCTAAGCCAATGTCCAGAATGGTTTTTCACTTTTAGAATTTTTATAGTTTCAGGTCTTAGATTTAAGTCTCTGATCCATCTTGGATTGATTTTTTTTTAAAGGTGAAAAAATGAGGATCTAGCTTCATTCTTTCTTTCATTCTTCTATATGTGGCTTGCCAATTATCCGAGCACCATTTGTTTAAAAGGGCATCCTTTCCCCACTTTATGTTTTTGTTTGCTTTGTTGAAGATCAGTTAGCTGTAAGTATTGGCTTTATTTCTGGGTTCTCTGTTCTTTTCCATTGGTCTATATTCCTTTTTTTTTTTTTTGAGACGGAGTCTTGCTCTGTCCCCCAGGCTGGAGTTCAATGGTGCGATCTTGGCTCACTGCAACCTCGCCTCCTGGGTTCAAGCAATTCTCCTGCCTCAGCCTCCTGAGTAGCTGAGATTACAGGCTCCTGCCACCATGCCCGGTTAATTTTTGTATTTTTAGTAGAGACAGGGTTTCACCATATTGGTCAGGCTGCTCTCGAACTCCTGACCTCAGGTGATCTGCCCACCTCGGCCTCCCAAAGTGCTGGGATTACAGGCGTGAGCCACTGTGCCCGGCATATACGCCTGTTTTTTATACCAGTACCATGCTGTTTTGGTGACTATGGCTTTATAGTATAGTTTGAAGTCAGGTTTTGTGCTGTCTCCTGATTTGTTCTTTTTGCTTTGTCTTGCTTTGGCTATGCAGGCTCCTTTTTGGTTCCATATGCATTTCAGGATTGTTTTTACTAATTCTGTGAAGAATGATGGTGTATTTTGATGGGAATTGCTTGAATTTGTAGATTGCTTTTAAGCCCAACTAATTTTTAAATTTTTTATAGAGATGGAGTCTCGCTATGGTGCCCAGGCTGATCTTGAACTCCTGGTCTTAGGTGATCCTCTTGCCATGGCCTCCCAAAGTGTTGGGATTACAAGCATGAGCCACTGCAACCTGCTTAAATCTCTTTAAATCGTTAATAAGACTGCCTGATCTTTGCCCTAAAGAAATATATTTTTTATTATAATGAACAGTAAATAAACCTTCCCTTAATTATCTCCATCTTCCAAAGGTGTTTTCTATACAAACATCCTTGAAAAGGTAGTTCAGAACAAAGGCAGTCTTCTCATAAGAATTGCATAAACATAAAAGACCACTGAAGGATTGTTTCCCAAATCTCCTATACAATTTTCTCTCTTTCTTTCTAAATACCCTATATATAAAGCTTGTATCACTGGATAACCCTTTCTTATTGTAATTATATAGAAACTCTAGGTTACTCCCTCTCATTTTCTGAAGAAATCAGTATATTCATTATCCTTTTAGTACTCTGGCTTTTTGGTTTCATGACCTCTTTTCCACCGGTAGTTTTAATCTCTATTTTATTTTCTAATTACTTGCAAAGTTTATATGTTAGGTATTTGAGTTTCTCATTATGCGAATGCCATATTCATATCCTTTACCCATTTTTCTTTTGGGTTTATCATTTTCTCATTTAATTAACAGGAATGTCTTCTCTAAGGTAGATATCTATCCCCTGTTGGCTTTACTTGTGTCAAATATCTTTGTCCGTACTGTGATCTCTATGTAAACTTTGCCTATTATAACATTTGATAAAGAGCCATTAATTTTAATGTCATCTTTTTTATCTTAGAGTTTGTGCAAAAAAGGAGCTGGTTTAAGAAGACCTTTTACACTTGAAAGCCTGAGAAATACTTCACATGTCTCTTTTTTCTTTTCCATTAGCTTTTCAGTTTTATCTTTTCCATTTAGTACTTTAATCCAACTGGATTCCACTCTTGCATATGGTACAAGCACGCATTCTTAATGGGCAGGGGGTGATATCACTCTGAAGGGAG
This sequence comes from Homo sapiens, assembly GCF_000001405.40. Lineage (NCBI taxonomy): Eukaryota > Metazoa > Chordata > Mammalia > Primates > Hominidae > Homo > Homo sapiens. The sequence continues at coordinate 76,656,698 of NC_000012.12, read as the reverse complement.
TGAAAATTGGTTCTTAGGGGTAGGAAAAAAAAAGTAGATATTACAATGGTTTATGGCTCTCCTAAGTGGCATAATATATAAAGAGATATACAGTATACCTGTGATATTAAAATTTCATTGAGAAGGAGGAAAATTGGGAGAAAATGTCTAACATGATTTCTTATGAGGATAATAAGGAAAAGGGTTGAGAAACACTGGTATAAGCTAAGAATACAGCATTATTTTTCTCATACAGTGACATATTCCCAATACTATTTTTTTCTTTTAAATTTTTCTTTTAAATTTTACTTTTTTACTACAGCTGCTGGCAACCTTGACCAATACCATCTATGAAACAGTTTATCAACCTTTCTCTGCCTGTGCATATGCATGCATCTGTTACTGAGCTCTGTTGCATGTTTCACTGGTATATGTGTTCCTAAGCCAACGTCCCACTTTTTTGATTACCATAGTTTTGTAACTGTCTGATATCTGGCAGTAAGGTGCCCTCTTTCTCTGACCTTTTTCTAAGTTGCCTTAATTATTCATAAAATATTTGGTCTTCTTATACATGTCAGGATAAGTACGTTGAATTCATTTTTTAAAAGTCCTTCTCTAATTTTAATTGGCATTGACTTGCGTTTATAGATTAATTTTGAGAACTTCCATGTTTTACAGTATTGCCATCTGTTCCATGAACAAGGCATAGCACTCCATTTATTTAGGCTTTCCAGCCCTTAAATAAATTTAAAACTTTTTCTTCATAAAGGTCTTATGAATTGTTCAGTTAAATTCATAGTTTATCTTTTGATTGCTATTGTGAATGACATTATAGAATCTGTTATATTTTTAGTTGATTATTGTTGATACAGAGGAACATTGATTTCTGTGAGTGGATCTTGTAGCTTGCATTCTTGCTGAATTCTCTTATTAAATCTATAGTCTTTCTGTTGATTCAGTCGGGATTACCTTATCTGCAAAAAAAGAAAGAGGGAGAGAAAAAGGGAAAGAAAGAAAAGACCAAAAAAAGAAAAAGAAATTCTGTACTTTCTCTGGAACAGATGAGGAGAAAACAGTAATCTAGTGATCTACATATAGCAAGAGAAACAGTGAATTGAACCCTTGTGGAGCACATTATAATAATCAGCTGTTCTAGTTTAATGGCACAGGTAGTATCTGCTTTGCATTTCAGTGATCGGCTTGTTCAATTCTGCCAAATAAATACCTATAATTACCTTTTGCTTCCTTTTCATAGGCTCAGTCCTTTTTTGGCTATATAATTATAAATTTTTAGGAATGTTTTATGTTACAATGGGTGAAACCACTTTTACTACTTTATCTCAGCAAGCAGAACAATAACCAATATTCTTTGGCTTTTTTTGAATAGCCATGCTTAACAATCTCTGAACATTCTCACCAGTACTCACAATAAGAAGAAAATTTAGGCTGGGTGCGGTGGCTCACGCCTGTAATCTCAGCACTTTGGGAGGCCGTGGTGGGTGGATCATGAGGTCAGGAATTTGAGACCAGCCTGGCCAACATGGTGAAACTTCATCCCTACTAAAAATACAAAAATTAGCTGGGCGTAGTGGTGCGTGCCTATAATCCCAGCTACTGGGGAGGCTGAGGCAGGAGACTCGCTTGAACCCGGGAGGCAGAGGTTGCAGTGAGCCAAGATCATGCCACTGTACTCCAGCCTGGGTGACAGAGCAAGACTCCGCCAAAAACAAACAAACAAACAAACAAACAAACAAAACACACAGAAAATTTAAGCACATGTATTAGAGGGAAAAAAAGAATCTCTTGATCTCTTGAGTAATTTCCTAAATGATGATCTATCAAAAATAACTAAGTCAAAGTGATTGTTATTGCTTAATAAGAGCTTCAAGAGGTTAATTGTGCATAAAATATACACATCATTTCCTGAACGGAACAATATGTGCACAATCAAATTATGCTCCATCAGAATAAACAGGCAATGGCCAGGCACGATAACTCATGCCTGTAATCCCAGCACTTTAGGAGGACAAGGTGGGCGGATCACCTGAGGTCAGGAGTTTGAGACCAGCCTGACCAACATGGAGAAACCTCGTCTAAATAGAAAACTTAGCCAGGTGTGGTGGCATGTGCCTGTGATCCCAGCTACTCAGGAGAAAGGAGAATTGCTTGAACCCAGAAGGTGGAGGCTGCAGTAAGCTGAGATCATGCCACTGCACTCCAGCGTGGGCAACAGAGCGAGACTCCATTTCAAAAAATAAATAAATAAACAGGCAACGTTTCCATGCAAAAATATACTTGTATATACTCTACATTTCCCAAAATATTCACAAGAAATTTAGATGCCTTCAGAGAAACAAATTCCTGAAAATGATCAAATTGATTGGACTGAAAATTTCTTCACTACTTAAAAACCTAAGAAATCACTTAGCCAACAAGTAATTTCTTCCCGAATAAAAGTGTGGCACTTGGAAAAATTAGAGCACATGTATTTTAAACACCACCAAACAGATTTTTTCCTAAAACTTTCTGTAAGCTAAATGGAATTCAGAGTTAAGGCATTGAAAAGTGACACTAAGATTAACCCTTGTTAAGGAGAGCAGATGGAAAGACAAGTTTGTAACAATGGAATAATCTTTGCTGCTTTTAGAGTAGGAAGGACACATTATAAAATACAATGGTTTATCAAGGAGGAAGAAATTCCTAACAGAAACAACTTTATGAAGCTGATCCTGTATTATTCTATCAGGAAATATGAGAAATGCATGAAATTTAAGGGAAATATCTTCTTCCCTTTTCAAGACAGGGTCTTGTTCTGTTGCACAGACTGGGGTGCAATGGTGTGGTCATAGCTCACTGCAGCTTCCACCTCCTGGGCTCAAGCCATCCTCCTTCCTCAGTCTCACAAGTAGCTGAAACTACAGGCGTGCCACCACACCTGGCTAATTTTTAAACTTTTTTTTTTTTTTGGTAGAAACAGGGTCTCACTATGTTGCCCAGGTCAGTTTTGAGCTCCTGGGCTCAAGTGAGTCACCCACCTCGGCCTTCCAAAGTGCTGGGATTATAGGTATGAGCCACTGTACCAGGTGAGGGAAACTTTTTTTTTGCAAAGCAATAGAAGTATGATTTGTTGTAAAGTTATCATTAAAGGCAGCAGACCTGTCACTGCATTGTTAATTCATTGGACTTTGTACTTATCTTTATTATAACACAAATTCACCCTGTGTCATAATTATATGTGCCACTATGAGCAATTGACAGTCAGGAATTCTCTTTTCCTATCTTGGTTTTGTTTTGATTTTTAAAATTTCCTGCATTCAGCATGGTGCACAGACATGTAGCCAGTGCTCAATCTTTAAAATGCTTTATGTTGTAAAGTAATGCAATATGTGATTTAAGACTTTCCACTATGTCTAGGTGTATTTACTATCATTGCATTTGGCTATCTAATAGACACACAATTCATTCTGCTTGAGCCACAATGACCTGTATCAGTTCAGTGTAGACCAATTATTCTAATCCTCAAGTTCAGCTTTTAACTCTGCTAGATGCTGTTTGACACTAGATTCCCCAGTACTAAAAATCTTGCCAACCTTACATTATGTTGTTGTATATAATTACAGCTTCCTAGTACTCAGTATGATATTATTAGCTCAAGCTGTAGCTCATTTGGTGTACATAATTACAGCACACTCAGCAGTGAGACCTGACCTACATGGGGCTGGGGGGGAGGGTGGGGGGATTCTGGTAATAATTTTGTCTATTTCAATTGACAATAAATGTAGTTATTACCAAGACTCCAAATTTTGGGAAAGTTTGATATTCACACTGCATTTCCAAGTACCTTTGGAATACCTAACATTACACTGATATTTTAGAGCTATTATTCTTTCTAATAATGATTGAATATTAGTATTATTTAAGCAACACTTCACTTTTTTTGGTTCTTTTCTCTTGTGGGCGCCTGGTTGGAAAACAACAAGGAGCAAAATGGTACAAAAGTGGAAGTTGTAAAGAATTGTCCTGCTAGAGAGTTATAGCTTAGAAATTTGTATGATGCCTAAGGCATAGTCAGACTTCAGTAAATTACACTTCCTTGTTATCATTACATGTATATGTTTTACAGCTTCAAACTTTAACAAGCACAGGTAAGCAACTGATAATCCTAGGTGCGTTCTCTTGAATCAGAATTGTCCTGGCTCCTAAGGATTAAGTACTAGAGGAACTTGGGGCTGGGAGGAGGAAGGCTTTGGTTGCTTGGGCATTTCCTTTCTTCCTAGTTTTACCTCTCATTGCTTCCGAGTCACTATTACACTTCTCGGCTGGCCTGCTCTGTATTTGCCTATATCTATCTCTTGGATTTAATTGCATTACAAAAAAGGTTAAAGTTTAACCCAGACATATGGCACTTAACTGAAATTCTCAATATCAATAATTAAAGAACTTTAATTTTTTAAAGAGAAAATGTCTTGGAGACCATTCTTTTACCTCCCCTTAGAGACTTGTCATAAATAACCAGAGTTAATGCATTTGCACATTATTTCATGCTTGTGAAGTGCTGTGAGCCTCAAGAAGAAATCTCTTTAAGTATGCAGTATATATCCCATTTTATTTCAAAGCACGTAATATTTTAAATCAAAGAAATTAATTTTTAAGAAAGAACTTTCAGTTTTCAAACTATTCACAATTTACATTTTAACAATGTACATTTAAATATTCTGAAGATGAAAGCATGGCTGCTTCAATATTAAGGGTCTCTTTCCATCTCCAAATATACTTAAAGTAATTTTCATTTATGTGGTTCAAAGTTTATATGCCCCTAAAGCCTATACTAAATAAGAGAAAAACCCCCAAAGTTTATATGCCAATATAGGCAGGAGAATTAATTTAATTCAATACAAGGGAGGAGAATTATTATGTAAAGGATGCTTACCAGCATAATCAGCTAATAACGTTATAGAGAGCTTTTACTTTATGTAAGCATTTTTTAGAGACTTTGATTTGACCAATAATACACACACACACACACACACACACACACACACACACAGAATTTTCTTAATGTTAAACCATATTATAATAGGGTTCTTCTTAAAACATCTTGACATCTTCCTTACACAGGTCTTGTGACTATTATAGAACCAAATCACCATTACGAAACTAAGTGATGGGTTACATAAAGAAAATGGGGTCTCTTCTGATAGGTGTCAAGGAAGCACAGAAATGTTAGAACTGTTTGAGACCTTGGAGATCATCTATCCCAACAATGTCATTGACATTGAAACTTAGGCTCACAATTCTTCATTATAAACAGTTTTTAAATTGCCTTTTATTAGTCCAAGTGATAGCAATACCTCTATAGCCTTAGGTAGAAGCTAATTATTCATTACATTGTAATTCTCTATTTACCGTGTCCTAGCTCTGTCCTGCTACCTAGACTCCTACAGGATGTAAACAAAAAATATTTCTATAGGATGTATTACTTTGTTCTCTCCCTAAAAAATTCAGTTTGTTAGCATCTACATTTTTAAACTGTTGAAATGGACCCAAATATGTAATAAATACTATAGTAGCTCAGACCCATGGAAATATTTTTCTAAAATCAGTTTTCATTAAAGTAGTTTCTACTTCCATTACTGGATCTGGTCTCTCCTAAAATGTAAGAAACCAGTTACTATTAATGATAAACCATTTGCTCATTATAAATATGAGGTTTAACAAGTAATACATGCTATATTTATTTGTCTAACTCTTAACTGTTAATTATGAACAGATTATTAGATGCCTACTCTATTTTCTGCAGTTTACAATAAAATAACTCTTTGAGTAAATTGAAGTTGGATTGTGTAACAAATTTATATTAGAATACAATTTGAAGTGTTTTTTTCTATAGCCTTTTTTGACTGGAGAAGCAAAGGGTAATGTTAATTTGTAAATTTCATTCTTGTATTATTTATGTTTCTGTAAGATATGATGCCCTATCCCAGAGATGCTGGAAGACTTTCTTTGCTTCTACCTGTGGGTTTGGTTTTTGTGAGTTTTTAAAAGAGTATGCATACAATAAAATATTCCTTCTGTGTTAAAATAAGAGAAACGAAGTCTCAGAGAAATCAATCTGACTTGTAACACTCATATTGCCTGTAGTAAAAGCTGATCTAATAATAATAATGCAAGAGATTGTTAAAAGGATAGTCTTTTAATTGGAAAAAGCAAATAATCAATTAGTGACTTGCAAGAATTACTCATAGCATTCACCTAGACCCACATTATATACTGCCAAAATACAGAAGCCTACAAAACTGAAATGTTGGGTAGCTCAGAAAGAGAATAGGAAAAATAATATTCACCACACTGGTTTACTTTGAGAATACTTGAAATCAAATATTTACCTGAAATTTATTAGAAATCTCTTATAAGAAGCATGTATGTTAGATGTTATGAATGATTTAAAGAATTAAGAAAATGAAGGAGGAGTGAGGGAAGGAAGAAAAAGACAAATCCTGTTCTCCAAGGATTACTTCTGGCAGGAAAGAAGATATTGCTATTGCTACATTTTGTTTAACTCTCCATAAGCATTCGTGTATTATTTCAGTCCCTGCCATTAAATGAAATGTTCTTTGAAAGCAGAGAGTATATCTTCTTCAATGATTAATCTCCCAGAGTAGCTTCTGTTAATAGCATTTGTCCAATAAGTGCTTCTTGAATTGAAATCAATTCTGTCAATATTATGGTGCATCCAAACACCAATAGTAAAATGCATCCTATCTTTTATATACCATTTCAGGCTCATTGATGATGCACACCCAATAAATCTTTTGCATAAACAATATTTTTAAGCAATACTTGCACAAATGGGTTTTATAAGACTTGAGGGGAAAGTACATGATGAAACATTCATCTTTTTTTTTCTAGTTCTAGATTGTTATTTATTTATTTAATTTTATTTTTTATTTTATTATTATTATACTTTAAGTTTTAGGGTACATGTGCACAATGTGCAGGTTAGTTACATATGTATACATGTGCCATGCTGGTGTGCTGCACCCATTAACTTGTCATTTAGCATTAGGTATATCTCCTAAGAAACATTCATCTTTTTAAAAAACTCTGTTAAATATTTTAGATTAAATACCAGTATTTTTCCTGAAATGAATAAAGATCCATTTAGAGATACACTTATTGGCACTCTTACTAAAACCATTTAATCGTGTTTCTGTAGGTAAGCTGACACTTTGATTCTGCATGCCTTTGTTAAATAACACCAGGTTGAGAGGGGAAATGATCTAACTGAAAGGCAAAAAAGAGTATTATAAATCAGATGAAGTCCCCAGAGACAGATGATCAATTGACAGGCATTTGGTCTGTCTAAAGGAGGAAGGGGTGGCCTTTGGCTGTCATAGGGGAGGAAGTCATATGAATAAGGCAGAAGGAATGCCATGAGCAAAGGCATAGAGGTGAAAGGGTGACTGTACGCTTCCCCTTGTTCTAAAGACTCGTGCGCCATTTTAGGTACCGGTTCTGATACGTGGTTTCTGCTTTGTTTCTGTACTGGAGTGCTTCTCTGTATCTTGTTAATTCCCCAAGTCACTTTAGGAGGAAGGTCTTTCTTGGCTCTTGTGAACCCCAACCCCAACCCCATATAGCTAAAAACCCTCTCACTACACCCCAGAGCATGCTCACTAGTTACCCAAATATCCTCAAAAGCTTTCCAGCTCTTTGCCTAGTTTTCTAGACATCTGGATAAACTTGGGTAAATTAACTTTTTCTAAACTTTGGGTAGCTCAGAAAGAGACTAGGTGAAATAATATTCACCACACTGCTTTACTTTGAGGATAAAACCACTAATGTCTATAAATTGCCTAGCATAATGCCTAACACCCGGGATTTCTGTTCTGCTTCTGAGCTCTGTCCACTAAATGGGACTCTGCTAATTTCTCTTACTATCGCATTCACCACTACCGGCCCCCGCCCCAACCATGCACACCCAGGCACATGGACTACTTTCTTGAAATACCACCTATTTTTGTTAGCCTTCCCTCCACCATCATGCATTGCTGCAGAACGGTATTGCTGCCCGCATGGGCAGCTGGCTCTGGTCCTGTGATGCCGGCTCCATCTCCCCAGCAGGAGGATCTCATTCCTGGGCTGGCCCTTCCCAGGCTGCAGCTTCCTGAAAAATATTGTCCTGAAATAGGATACCAGGGACCTTTTTTTCTGAAAAAGAGAAAGCTGTTTTCAAATATTTGAAGGCCTGACTTATACATAAGAAATTAGACTAGAGTTTCTAAAAGTTTTTTATGCCATGGACCCCTTGGTGATCCAGAGAAGCTTATGGACCCTTTCCATATTCCATAGAAACATTATTCTAATAATGTTTTTAAATGTAGAAACTATAATGCATAGGATTACAAAGAAACCAATTATGTTGAAAGACAGTCCTTGAAATTTTTTTTTAAACAAGCTTGTGCTATAGCAACATGTATGTTTTTTATTAATGCAAATAATAAGGTGTAGCGGCAGGCCTAAAAACTTCAGAAATTGCGGTTACCCTGAATAAATGAGATTTTAAGATTTTTAGGACAACAGGAATATGATACAGAAATATCTGTGATTCCTGTAACTGACAAAGTCATAGAGACTATTAATGCTACTGTGATTTGTTGCCTCCACTCAATAATTGAAGGAAATCTAAATTTAGAGATGAGTGAAAATGAGGATGTTGTATATTTTCCCCATCTAAATTCATAGACCCTTGAAATGTATCCATAGATATTCTTGGCCTATGCCTCCCCATCACCCGCCCTGTGTAAGGACTGTAAGGACCCTGCATAAGACTCCTTCTGTGCCTTTGAAAGGAGTAGAGCTCATCTCAGTGGGTCCATGTTATAAGAGGGCAGACTTCAGTTCACCACAATGAAGAACTTCCTAACAATTAAAAATCCTCAAAAATAATAGGCCACTTAGTAAAGTAAGTTTTTCATTACTAAAGTATTCAAAAGAAGTAAATATGATTGAATTAGGATTATTGCATCAGGAAGGAAATTGGGACTCCATTTATATACATTATAATGTGAACAAAGCTTTCTAGAGATGGACAAAGCTGCAGTCCTGCTAACATTCACCAGGCATGGAGCAAGGTGCTTTACATTCCTTGACTCATTCAACTCTAACAGTCAGCATAGGAGGTAGGCATATTCTTCTGAATGTCAGCTCAGGATTATTATTATTTTTTAACTTGAAAAAGAAAAACATCTAAGAGGTAAAATTCAAATGAAGGTGTTTCAGGCCCCAAAGTTTAGATATTTTCATCTGTAAAATGGAGTTAATAATATTTACTTATAAGTACTTACAAGGCAAGTACTTATAAGTAAGTATTTATAAAGTGGTTTTTAGAACTTCAAAAGATAATATATGTCAAGTATATATGTAAAGTTATGAAGGATAGTGATATTCTAAGCATTTTACATGAATTAACTAATTTCATCCTCACAACGTTTGAGTTAAGTAATAGTATTACTTAACTATTACTTAACACAATAATCTTTGTGTATGCAAGATTTCTGTCCCCACCAGGTATGGTGGCTTGCACCTGTAATCTGTAATCCCAGCTACTTGGGAGGCTGAAGCAGGAGGATCCTTTGAGGCCAGAAGTTCAAGACCAGCCTGGGCAACATAGTGAGACTCCATCTCTTAAAAAAAGTTAAAAATAAAAGTAAAAGATTTCTCTCCCTAACAAGACAGTGACTGCTCAGAGGTAATAATGGAACTGCCTTTATTACTAGCACTAAATGAAACTGCCTTTATTACTAAAACAAATTGCTAGTACCAGGTCTGGGCACAGCATAACACAGTTGTTACCAGCATGAGCTCTGGAGTCAGACCATCTGGGTTCAAATCCAGTTTGCAGTTGTGTAGCCTTGGGCAAGCTATTCAACCTCTTAGTGTCTCTGTTTTCCCATCTGTTAAATGAGGATGAGTAAAATAATAAAATAAAAGAACAAGACTTGACAGTATCTATCCCTGTCAGTTTGACTCAGAGCTAACTTGTTCTGCTTCTGCTGTCTTTTAAAAAAAATTCATATTATTATGTTTAATCTCTAAAGACTTTTCTTTCATGGTTGGTCGCTGACAATGTACTCCAAGGAAGCAACCAGAACCACCCACTCTCAGGGAAGCATTTTCAACTGCTGCTTTGAGTATTGCTAAAGTTTCTCTGTCCTACAGTATACTCTAAGATAGCAATTCACAAGCTGAGATTTATGACTTGCTAAGTTCAAAGATACAAACAAAATATTTATTTTTGACATTTCTCTTGAGAAGTCACCTGAATCACTCACATCTTTCTCTTGGTATTTAAAAGGGGTAGTTTTCAGTAATCATATTGTTAAGGGATCCTTGGGGTGTTGCTTCACCAGCCAGAAACCTCTATGGCTGGTGGCACCTTTGCCTGAGTTTTGCTCTGGCCCACTGGACTCATTCTGCCCACTTGGCCTAGCAGGCTGCACTAGGCTCATGCTGCTGGTCTGGATCCCATGCATGCCAAGGCCAAGCCAGGCATGGAGCAGCAAAGGGTGTGTGAGCGAGTGTGGGGTCTGACCACTGCACATGACCAGTCATGCTGGCTGCGTTGGGGCGAGCAGCTCCAGGTGCTAGCATGGGTGTAGGCTCCCTGCCAGGCTGCAGCTAGAACAGGTGTACCATAAGCAGCTTCCACAGCTCACATTGGGGAATGTGGTGGTGCCTAAAAGCTTGGAGACACCAGGAACTGCAGAGCCCTAAAGAGGGTGTCATAGCCCTGGCTTGGGGATTTCCTAGGTCTGGGCTCCCTGAAGGGTTGCAGCTCTTCTCTCCTCTCTTCTGGTTGCCCTCAATGTGGTGAGTAAGGGGTGTGTTTCAGCCCTGTTTGTGTTACAGCTCTTTTAGCCCCACCATTCAGGGGGTCCCAAGTTCTTGTCCTGTGTCCAGGAAGAATGAGGTACACAGACAAGTGGAGGGTGAGCAAGATGAAGAGGAGCTTTATTGAGCAATAGAGCAGCTCGGAGGAGACCCAAAGTGGGCAGCCCCTCTCCATAGCCAGGGTGTCCCAGTGAGTGTTCAGCTCTTAGCAGAGAGGGTAGCTCCTCTCTGCAGGCAGGGCATCTTGACAAGTGTTCAGCTCTCAGCAGAGGGGGTAGCTTCTCTCTGCAGCTGGTGGTCCTGTCATCCCTCTAGTCTGGCTCAGTCCAGAGCTTTTATGGGCCTCAGAGAGAGGAAGTGCACACTGATTGGTCCATGAGCAACCACGGGCAGGCCCGGAAAAGGCATCACAAGTTTCCACTCTGGTCCATGGGACCAGCAGCTCATCCCCCAGGCACAGGCCCTCCCCAGCTTGAAGGTGGGGCTTCACCAGGGACCCGCCCCCTTCTGCCCAGGAGCCTGTCTGCCTCTTGCCGCCATTCATGATGCCCAGGCTGTTTGTGCAAAGGGGCACCTGCAGGCCAGCGCAGAGCTGCCCTCAGCACCCCCCCAGCCTCTCTCCTGTGATCACTGGCACCCAAAGTCCAGAGGGGCCCAAAGCGGCAGGGGGCTGGCATGTCAGCACTGCCCTGAGCATGTGCACACCCGGCCAGATTGCAACAGTGCCCAGGCTCAGCCTCAACTTTGCTCCATGACCGGATTGGGTGCTGAGAGCAGAGAGAAGACAAGCAGTGGGAGCAGGCACTTCCAAGCCTGCAGGGGATTGGGGGACCTTCCCGGAGCCCTGAGAGTGCAGAGATGCCTGGGTCCACAGCCAGGGCTTGAGCAGCTGCAGCTGCAGCTGCACCTGGGAGGGCAGGACTCCTGCCTGCTCCTGGCTCTCAAGAGCACAGGGGTGCCTGGGTTGCAGCTGCAGCTTGGGCAGCTGCAGTTGTGCCTGGGAAACTCCCACCCTGCCAGTAGACTAAATCACTGGGGGTGCGAGGAAATTTGGACCTCAGTAGCCAGGTTCAAATTGTTCACTGTTTCTGAAAAGTGGAATTCACCTGTGAGCAATATTCTCCTTAGAAACTCTCCTTTTAGAACTCTCCTTTTAGGAAAATCCATTTATTTATTTATTTATTTATAAAACAGCCAGAAATTATTCAGGTAAATTTTGTAAGTCAAGTGCTTACTCCCTTTTACTTAAGCTGCCAGTGGCTGTTTTGCTAAAGCATTGTTTCATCAATAAACTCTGGGCTTTACTTAATAACTCTGTCAGTGGTGCAGAAGTCCAGAAGTTTTATAGGACTTGGTAGGAATTATTATAGTAAAAAGCATTTTATAGCAATTTCCTCTCTTATTTAAAAGTAATATAGACCATGAATACTGGATTCTGCTAGAAGAAAAAGGGGAAATCTTAGGTTGGTTGGTTTTATGTTCACTGTATCATTTTTACTTCTCTTACAAATCTTTAGATAAACAGAATTAAGAAGAAAACCTTTTCTGTAAGCCAGAGAAATATTTTAGTATTTGTTCTGGTATATTTTATTTCCTCCTTTATTTATTTATTCATTTATTTATTTATTTATTTAGAGATGGAGTCTCGCTCTGTTGCCCAGGCTGGAGTGCAGAGGCACCATCTCAGATCACTGCAACCTCTGACTCCCAGGTTCAAGCAATTCTCCTGCCTCAGCCTCCCAATTAGCTGGGATTACAGGTGCCCACCACCACACCCAGCTTATTTTTTTTGTATTTTTAGTAGAGATGGGGTTTCACCATGTTGGCCAGGCTGGTCTCTAACTCCTGGCCTCAAGTGATTTGCCTGCCTCAGCCTCCAAAAGTGCTGGGATTACAGGCATGAGCCACCGTGCCCAGCTATTAATTATATTTTAGACAGGCTCTCACTCTGTCACCCAGGCTGGAGTGCAGTGGCATAATCATAGCTTACTGCAGCCTTGAACTCCTGGGCTCAAATGATCCTTCTGCTTCAGCCTCCTGAGTAGCTGGGATTACAAGTGTGAAACATTGTGCCAAGAACCTCATGTATTTTTCATCCAGTAATACAGCTTCTAAAAATCCATTCTAAGAAACCAGTTGTAGATAGAATCAAATATTTACATACCAAGTGCATTTATCACAGCTCTATAAGAAGAGCAGAATCCCTAGCAACTTATGTCTCTGAGGTGTCTCACTGCTCTGCTATAAATTTCAATGTTGACAACCACCTTGAATGGTAATTTGGAGAGCATTTTAGGCAGGGAGTCAAAAACACTGGCTCAAGTACTTGTTCTAACCCTTTATCTCCTGTCTGACTCTAGAAAATTACTTTTTTTGAGTCTGTTATTTAACATTTTATTTGCAACATAAAATACGATTTAAGATCATGGACTTTAGAGGTAGACTGCCAAGCCTCAGCTTCACTATGTACTAGCTAATGGAACTTGGGTAAATTACTATACCTCTGTGCCTCAATTTTCCCAACTATAAGATGGCGATAGTAATACTTCCTACCGTAAAAAGTTGTTTTGAGGATTAAACAAATTATCATCTGTAAGGCTGGCTTATTAGTGGTTGGCATTCAGCAATCACTATCTTGCTTTAAGTGCTAAATGAGCCTGCATAATGGGAATAATAAACCCTTTTTCACCAAACTGATGGAAGGATGACATGGGAGCATATATGTGAGAGTACTACAGAAACTACAACATACAGGCTGGGCGCGGTGGCTCACGCCTGTAGTCCCAGCATTTTGGGAGGCCGAGGCGGGTGGATCACGAGGTCAGGAGATCAAGACCATCCTGGCTAACATGGTGAAACCCTGTCTCTACCAAAAATACAAAAAATTAGCCGGGCATGGTGGCAGGCGCCTGTAGTCCCAGCTACTCGGGAGGCTGAGCAGAAGAATGGCGTGAACCCGGGAGGCGGAGCTGGCAGTGAGCGGAGATTGTGCCACTGCACTCCAGCCTGGGCGACAGAGCAGAGCGAGACTCCGTCTCAAAAAAAAAAAAAAAAAAGAAAAAAGAAAAAAAGAAACTACAACACACTATGCAAATGTCATGCCGTTATTAGAGAGGTAGTTGGAAGTATATGTCAATCATCTTACAATTCTATGGTAAAAATATTCTACCTCCTAGAAACATATGTATGAGTAGTAATTGATTTAGCAGACCAGAGAATTGAAATTTAAGTCTGCATTGGGGGAGAAAAGGTCAGAGTAAAGGAGGGCTGCATGGAAAGGACTAATAAGAAGCAAACTGTAGAATCACAGAAGAGCTCAGGTAGGGATACAATTGGGCCTAAAACAGAAGGATTGGTTAAAAATCTTGAAAAGGAGTAGGGAGATGACCCACTTCCCCATCTCTTCATCCCTCTCTACGTGGCTACCCGTTCCCTCCCCTGACAGAAAAGTGGAAATTTGTTCTCTCAAATGGTTGTATCAGAAAGGCTGTGATCTCAGGAACACTATTTTTAAAGGAATATTTAGAGAATAGTCTAAAGGTCTTCAACATTAAAAAATAAGATGGTAGAAATGAAAAATCAAAAGGAAGCTTGAATATACGGTCAAGTGTATTTCCCAGAAAGAACAAAAAGATAAACAGATGCCAGATGCAGTGACTCATGCCTGTCATCCCAGCACTTTGGGAGGCCAAGGGGGCAGATCACTTGCGGCCAGGAGTTCAAGACCAGCCTGGGCAACATAGCAAAATAAGCCAGGCATGGTGGTGCACACCTAGAGTCCCAGCTACTCAGGAGGCTGAGGCAGGAGGATTCCTTGAGCCCAGAGGTTTGAGGCTGCAGTGAACTATGATTGCACCATTACACTTCAGCCTGGGCAACAGAGTGAGACCCTGTCTTAAAAACAAACAAACAAAAAAAACCCAAAACACACAACACACACACACACACACGAACAAGACAAGAAAACAAAACACGCACACACACAAACAAGACAAACAGATGCAATATGTAAGGAAGAGCATTAGAGACGTACAAACCAATTTCCCAGAATTTAAGGACCTGAGTTTTCTGATGAAAACATTTCAGTTACAGTCCGGTCAAAAAACTAAACCAAAGAACAACATCATGAAATTTCAAAAGACAAAAGATTTTAAAAGACATATCTATGAAAACTCCTTGAAAGGAAAAATTAGTCTGGGCACAGTGGCTCACGCCTGTAATCCCAACACTTTGGGAGGCTGAGGCAGGCAGATTGCTTGAGCCCAGGGGTTTGAGACCAGCCTGGGCAACACAGGGAGACCCCATCTCTACAAATAATACAAAATTAACTAGGAATGGTGGCACATGCCTGTAGTCTCAGCTACTCGGGAGGCTGAGGTGGAAGGATTGCTTGAGCCCAGGAGGTCAAGGCTGCAGTGAGCTGAGATCTTGACACTGCACTCTAGCCTGGGGGACAGAGTGAGACCCTGTCAAAAAAAAAAAAAGAAGGAAAGTGAGAAAGAAGAAAAGAAAGAAAGACAGAGAGAAAGAAAGAAAAGGAAAGAAAGAAAGAAAGAAAAGAAAGAAAGAAAGGGAAAGAAAGAAGAGAGAGAGGGAGGGAAAAGAAAAGGAAAGAAGGAAAGAAAGAGAAAAGCAAAGCAAGGTCACAAAGTATCAGGAATCAAAATGGGATCAAAATTCCTAGTAGCAACCACTGGAAACTAGATGATAATTGATTAAAACTTCCAAATTCTAAAAGAAGATGATTTCTAAGTAAAATTCTCTGTCTGCTTAAACTCTACATAAAGTAAAAAGCTAAAGATTTTTTCAGACAAGCAAGGACTCAAATAATTTACCTTCCATATCTGCTTCTCAGAAAGCTCCTGGGAGTTATTGGGCTCCACTAAAATAAGAGAGTAAACTGAGAAAGAGGAAAATGGATATCCAGCACCAGAGGAGGCCAGGGGACATCCCATGATGGTGGCAAAGGTCAGAATCTGGGTAGCAGGTCGGACAGCAACCAGGCCAGGCTGGAGCAGGAGGCAGGAGCAACAACGCCAAGAAAAAATGGGACTGATAGATGGTCAGATGTATTTGGCCATGTCAGAGGGGTTTTATAGACAAAAGTTGATGCAGGAAGTTTAAGGTAGTATATATGTGGATCAGATATGTACTTATGGTCATAATCATGTAATTATTTAATACTAATTTAATTCAATACTGATTGTATAACTATATTTGAGGCATGCAGATTGGAAAAGCACGCATGTATGTAAGTGGAGAGTGTGGGGAGAGAAACAGACTTAAATCCTCATCTTTCTTTTTTTTTGAGATGAAGTTTTGTTCTTGTTGCCCAGGCTGGAGCTCAGTGGCACGATCTCGGCTCACTGCAACCTCTGCCTCCCGGGTTCAAGCAATTGTCCTGCCTCAGCCTCCTTAGTAGCTGGGATTACAGGCACATGCCACCATGCCCGGCTAATTTTTGTATATTTAGTAGAGATGGGGTTTCACCATGTTGACCAGGCTGGTCTTGAACTTCTGACCTCAGGTGATCCACCCACCTCGGCCTCCCAGAGTGCTGGGATTACAGGTATGAGCCACCATGCCCCACTTAAATCCTCATCTTTCATCATAGGAGATTGTTCAGAATCAATTGAGAGATGGTAATAAGAGTCAGATGGATAAAGATCAAAATATCAGCTTCAAGGTTTGGGTGTGGGAAGGTTTTGGGGGAAGTGATTCTAGGAAGTGGAGTGAGGGTATGGGAAAGAGAGACTGGAAAAGGAGAAAAGCCATTAAGAATGTGTCAGTGAGCTCAGTCCCACTGGAGACCTTCTGAGAAACAGGGTGGAACACGCCTTTGCATTGTCCCACCAGAGGACAGGGAGGCTGGTCGACTTGTTGAAGATGGCGTACGCAAACGCCTCTGCATTTCTCATTCTGCTTATACAACTAAGAGCTCCTGTCGGGCCAAAGAAAGCCCTGCTGTGGTGAAGTAAAGAGATGCTAGAGCTTAAGGTGGGAGGCTGTCAGCAGGGTGGAAGCTGTCACACCACAGCAGGTGAGCTTACAGTTAGAGGTAGGTGGGGGCCTGGGAGGGGAGCATTAATAGCTTCTGTCAAACAAATGCTGGGTTGGAGCACAGAGTGTGATCTTCCTAATATTTCAACTATGAGTTAAGCAGACTTAGCCCCTTCATCACTAACCTATTGCACAGAACAGACACTGCCTCAATATGCTCACCAAATGGGAGAGCCAAATTGAAGGCACCTTGCCTCAGGCAGGTTCATCCAAGAGAAAGAAGAGGCTGAGGCAGGCCTGCTCACTAGCCAAGTAAGTCCCTTCTTCCTGGAGGAGGGAGTGAGAAATGGAGAGAGAGGCCCAAAGAGTTATTTTTGCTAACATTGCCCCAAGTGGAAACATAAGACCAGGGAAATGAAGGGCTCCCATAGAAACCAGCATGTCAAAGCAGATACTGAAATTTTAAAAACAACAATACAAAACAGAAAACAGCAGTATTCACGTGTTATTTCAGATTACCAAGGTATATACCACCAAAATAGCTAAGATATTTCCAAAGTGGTTGCTATGGTCTGAATATTTGTGTCCCTCCAAAATTCATATGTTGAAATCTAATCTCCAATGTGTTGATATTAAGAGGTGGGATCTTTGGGAGGTGGTTAGGTCACGAAGGCAGAGCCCTAGTGAATGTAATTAGTGCCCTTATAAAAGTGGTGTGAGGGAGCTTGTTTCCCTCTTTGCCCTTCCACTAAGTGAGGGCGGAGCTAGAAGGTGCCATCTATGAGGAAATGGACCCTCACCAGATGCTGAGTCTGCCAGCACCCTGAGCTTGGACTCTCCAGCCTCCAGAACTGTGCAATACATTTCTGTTGTTTATAAATTATCCAGTCGAAGGTACTTTGTTAGAGCAGTTTGAATAGACTAAAACAGCAGTTATCTGTGGAAGAATGGGAATTAGAATGGGAGGAAGAGTAAAGAGGACTGCTATTTTTCACTATAAACCTAATCATAGTATTTGACTATTTTAATCTGCATAAATGTATTATTTTCATTAAAATGAATTTATTTATTTATTGAGACAAGGTCTCGCTCTGTTGCCCAGGCTGGAGTGTGGTGGTGCGATCATGGCCCACTGCATCCTCAACCTCTTGGGCTCATTGGATTCCCCCACCTCAGTTTCCAGAGTAGCTGAGACTACAGGCATACATCACCATGCCCTGCTAATTTCTATATATTTTTTGTAGAGATGGAGTTTTGCCATGTTGCCCAGACAGTTCTTGAACTCCTGGGCTCGAGGAATATGCCCACCTCAGCCTTCCAAAGTGTTGAGACTACAGGTGTGAGCCACTGCACCTGGCCTATTTTCATAAAAATTTGAATATTAAATTAGAAACAATTCTATAACAGACCCACCACATTAAGTGGGAAAAAATGTTTTAAAAATCAGCATGGCAAACTAATCCTAATTAACAAAAATTCTACATGAACAGTTGTTACATTTATAATCAAGAAAATAAAATACACACTAAAAATACATTTAAAAAATAGAGCAGAGATGAGTTGTATTCAGTTATTTCTACATATTAAGCAACTATTAGCTATTTGAAATTATGTCAGTAGTTAATTATAGGAAGCAACAGTGAAAATAAATTTGAGAACACGTGTACTTATACCATGCTGATCCAAACATCTCTGCTTGATTGAAATGTCTAGGGCACATTGGGATATAAATAATGCTAGCAAGCCACTACTTTGTGTGGTTAAAACAAGAGGATCAGAATATGATTTCATGAATCACATGGGTTATTGACATACAAACAGATTTTTTTTACAATGCTTAAAGAGGGGGAGAATAATGACAACAAATCTCACAGGAATGCACTCCATAAATGAAGTACATTAGTCACATAGTGAACGAGTTCTGATTTTCTTTAGAATCCAATTATTAGAATTTAGTTACTTAGGGGCTGGGTGCAGTGGCTTATGCCTGTAACCCCAGTATTTTGGGAGGCCAAGGCGGGTGGATCACCTGAGGTCAGGAGTTCGAGACCAGCATGACCAATATGGTGAAACCCCACCTCTACTAAAAATACGAAAAAATCAGCTGGGCTTGGTGGCTTGTGCCTGTAGTCCCAGCTGCTCGGGAGGCTGAAACAGGAAAATTGCTTGAACCCAGGAGGTGGAGGTGGCAGTGAGCCAAGATCATGCCACTGCACTCCAGCCTGGGCAACAGAGCAGGACTGCGTCTCAAAAAAAAAAAAAAAAAAAAAAAAAGGAATATAATTACTTAGGATGGAAGCAGGCCTCTGCGGATGTAAAGGATGTAAAGTCTAATAGAAGTTTGAGGTATACCTTTACAGGGGAGGCTTTCAGAAGAGATGATTTGACCAACATGGCGGAAATCCGTGGTGACACACAAGGCCCCTCACTGCTAGTGAGTGATGCTGGTGTTGGTGGGGAGGTTGGCAGAGAGTAGCTCTGGCACCCATCACCTAAGCTCTCAATCTTTCTGTCAAAATCTTGGGTTCGGCTGGGCGTGGTGGCTCATGCCTGCAATCCCAGCACTTTGGGAGGCCAAGGTGGGCAAGTCGCTTGAGCCCAGGAGTTTGACACCAGCCTGGCAAACATGGTGAAACCTCGTCTCTACAAAAAAATACAAAATTTAGCCAGGCGTGGCAGCATGTGCCTATAGTCCAAGCTACCTGGGAGGCTGAAGGGGGAGGATTACGTAAGCCCAAGAGGTAGAGGCTGCAGTGAGCCATGATCGTGCCACTCTGCTCCAGCCTGGGCAACAGAATGAGACCCTATGTCAAAAAAAATTGTTCTTAATTAAAATTCTTGGGTTTATATGTATTTTGGAGTCCAGTAGTTGAGGCCAATAACTCATATATCTAGTCTGATAAGGTATTGAAACCGTCCCTGTAAACTTTATAAATTAATCATGGAAGAAGTGAGAGGAAGAAACAAAAATATACCAAGCTTGCAGCACATGCAGCATTAATCGCTAGGTCAGCCTGCTCTCTGACCCACTCCCTCATAGTTGTTTTGTGCCTCTTGCCTTAGAATCACATAGACCCTGTTACAAGATTATAGTTCCCCTTAACTGCTCTATAGAGAACAATTTAAACATTATAAAATGTTAAGTTTTCCATTTGAGGTTTTCATTTGCTCTTTCAGGTTTTGTATACCAGTGAAACTACTGACATCACCTGGTCTGAAGGACCCCATGAAGAGATGACTCACCAAAGAATGCAGTTTCCACATCCTGATGATTTCATCCCCATTACCTGACAAAACAATGACCCCAATTTCCCAGCCCCTCACCCTCCATGACCCCCTGAAAAACGTCAGCTAGAAACTTCTCGGAGAGATGGATTTAAGGGTCTCCTCCCATCCCCTTGCTTGGTGCCCTGTGATCATTACACTCTTTCTCTGCTGCAAACCCTGCTATCTCTGTACCTGTCTGTCACTGCACAGCAGGCATATGAATCTGTTGGTCCTATAACATCGCAACGTAACATTCCCATGTGGAGGGGGATTACACTCCATGTTCTTATCACAGCAAAACATATGTCACACGTAGCAATCTATGTAAGTGTTTGGAATCATTTCAGAGCTACATAACAGGCACCATTGTGAAATGCAGGAAACTCTGAATTTCCAGTTTTGAAAAAATTGTATTGGAGCTCTGTCTCTGCTACCCACTAACTGTGATTTTGGTTCCTTAATATCTCTGAACCTTGCTTTTCCTCTGTAAAAAGGTGATAACAACACCAACCTCATGGGATTACTGTCTGGATTAAATGACATAATGTACAAAAGCACTGTAAATATCTCTGAATACATAGGCACATATTTGAAAGTTGTTCCTTAAATGTGAAATTTTAAAACCAGGAAGCTAATTATAGATAAAATATTGAAAGAAAAGTTATAAAGGAACATTTAAAAACTAAAATTTCATTAGAAAGATACATTTTAGCTTAAGGTATATTTGAAGATAAATATTACCATCACTGGGTGCCAGCATACTTATAACAATCTTACATTTTTCACCTTACAGTTTTTTAATTTAATTATAAAAGTAACACATACTTGTCATAGGAAATTAGGAAAATACAGAAACATGAAAAGGAGAAAAATCCCATCTCACAGAGATAAGTCCTTTCAACTTTTTAATATATTTCTTCCAGTTAGCATTCTGGCTTTCAGCTTTTCTCTCCCTCCCTCTCAAAACATTTAGTGTAAATTATGTCATTAAGGCCAGGTGTGGTGGCTTATGCCTGTAATTCCAGCACTTCGGGAGGCCAAGGTAGGAAGATCTTGGGAACAAGTGTTTGAGATCAGCCTGGGCAAGAGAGTGAGACCGTTTCTACAGAAATTTTTTAAAAATATTAGCTGGACATGGTGGCATGTGCTTATAATCCTAGCTGCTTGGGAGGCTGAGATGAGAGGTTGACTTGAGCCCAGGAATTTGAGGCTGCTGTGAGCTATGATCATGCCACTGCACTCAAAGCCTGGGCTGTAGAGTAAGACTCTCTGTCTAAAAAATAATAATAATAAAAAGTATATCACTAATATATCTTTCAAAAGTAATAGTAACTTAACACTTATTATTGTTAGATAGTTTCCAACTTTTGAATACCATTACAATGACCTTGGGTTCCATAAGTGCATACCCGAATTGGTACATTCTGAATAAATCATATTTGCCTACTTACTCATTTGTCTCCCCAGCTAGACAATAAGCTTTGTGAGGAACACTTCCTTTTTTGCCATTGTTATGTAGTGCCTAATATCTTGCTTGGCACACAGTATCTCTACATAAAAATATGTGCTGTGGGCCGGGCGCGGTGGCTCATGCCTGTAATCCCAGCACTTTGGAAGGCCGAGGCGGGTGGATCATCTGAGGTCGGGAGTTCGAGACCAGCCTGACCAACATGGAGAAACCCCGTCTCTACTAAAAATACAAAATTAGCCGGGCATGGTGGCACAAACCTGTACTCCCAGCTACTCGGGGGGCTGAGGCAGGAGAATCGCTTAAACCCGGGAGGCGGAAGTTGCAGTGAGCCGAGATCACGCCACTGCGCTCCAGCCTGGGCAATGACAGCAAAACTCTGTCTTAAAAAAAAAAAAAGTGCAGGTATGAATGAACAAAAGAAAGAGTGAATACTAGTATTTCCCCCACAGAACTCGAGGGTTTTTCCAAGACAGCTTCACAAAATGAGACAACATGTGTAAAAGTTATTTGTGTGTTTTCATCTTTATTATATTTGAATCAGTATTTTTTTTAGTGTTTTTGTCGTTGCCATAAACTGGAGCAATAAGAACGAGATATTTGAGAGGTAGATGTGGGCGTTGTTGGGGGCAAGGTATGGGAGAGACCATTGTGACAGAATGGTAACCTCTTCTCCTAGACACTGGAGAGCAGGCTCTGTTTAGAGCCCTTTGTCTGCCTCTGCAAGGACAAAGCTTTCATCTTAATAGAATCCTCTGCTGGCAGCTCAGTAGCTGTTTCAAAGCAGGAGGGAAAGAGGAAAAAGGATGGTTCTGGGGGAGGGGAAATTATAGGAGGAAAACATTTTTTCCCATTTTCTACTCAAAGTATGAGTTAGAAATACACAAAAGGGGTATATGGAAAGAAATGCAGAGTGCAGCATCGACTACCTCTGTGTATAAAAAAAATGAATATTTGCTGAAATCTAGATATAATGTGTCATTCCAGAGTAGCACACTGAAACCACTTTAGAGGTGAGAAAGTGTTGGAGGCCATGGGTAATTATAGAAGGAGTGCTGTATTAGGGTAATTTCTGGTTTAAAAGGACACAAAGCAACCTTTTGGGGATGAAAATATTTTATATCTTGTTTGGAGCGGTTACATGGATGCATACAGTTGTTGAAATTCTTCGAACTGAATACTTATCTCTTTGCGTTTTACTGAATGTAAATGATATCTCAATTTTTTAAATTGTTAAATAACAGAGTTTTTTTCTGATTGCAAAAATAACATGCATTCATTCTAGAAAATTTAGAAATTACAGATAAGCACAATGAAGGAAATAAAAATTGCCTGGACTTTTACTGCCCAGAGATAATCATCTTCACTTTTAGGTTATTGTTATCTGGATTTTATTTGCCTGCCTGCCCAGTTATCATGTTACCCAAGACAGCAATAGTCATCCTATTATAGACATGTTCACTAACAACCTGGCCACTTATCAAATTTATCCCCACCCAAACATCCTCCAGCTTAACACTGGCTTCCCTCCCCACCCATCCTGTCAATGTGCTTGTCAGTCAGCTCTTTCCTGAATGTTGCATATGAATATCCACAAGTGTAATGGAAATTGACTCTAAGTGGATTGTGAGCTTTGAAAAATAATATGTGTTTGATGAAATAAGTGAACTAATGTTGGAAAACTACTGGATCACATAAAAGCCATTGACAAATGAGGAAGTTAGGCCTGATGAGCATGTACTAAGATAAAATAAACAGAGATGATGATTAGGCACTTCAAAAGAGAATGATTTGATTATCAAAGATAAAGCCCTTTGGAAAACAATAAAACCCTCAAATTATTTTTGTTGTAAAAGTTATGACAGTACTATAAAAGTCAGACATGAAGTGGTAAACAATGTTGTATCACACTATCATACAATTTTGTCCAAAAGAAAAAGCCAAAGTGTCATTTTAAAGTTAATTTCCAAACAAACATTTTAAAAATTATTTTCGATAACTGAACATCTCAAATGTTAATATGCATAAGAATCACCTGGAACTCCTGTTAAAAATGCAGATTCTGGTCCAGTACAGTGGCTCACACCTGTAATCCCAATGCTTTAGGAGGCCAAGGCGGGAGGATTGCTTGAGGTCAGGAGTTCAAGGCTGCAGTGAGCTATGACCCTTGTCTCAAAACAAACAAACAAAAAACAGATTGTTATTCAATTAGGTCAGGAGAAGGATCCTTAATTCTGCATTTCTAATAAGTTCCCAGGAATGCTGATGCTGTTGGTCTCTGGACTTTGAGTATCAAGACTGTACAATTGTGATCTTAGGTAGATTCACTTTAAATGGCCTTTATCCAATATTAATTATCGTTGAGTATTGAGAAATGCCTGCCTATTCTTTCAGCTATTTCGTACTAACTGCTCTAGACCTGGGCAATGTATGATTCTTAAACTATAAACAAAATAAGTTAGGGGGCTTGCTTAAGCATATATTGTTTATCTTTACCCCCAGAGTTTCTCATTTGATAGATCTGAGGTGGGGTCCAAAAATTTGCATTTTAAACTAGTTCTCAGGTGATGCTTAATGCTGCTGGTCCTAGAACTACACTCTGAACTGCTGCTTTAGAATGATTGCAAATAACTTCAAAGAAGTTGCTTACAATACCTGAATTATACATTCTTCTGGTAACATTTGCAAAACAGGTCATATGAACAAGCCGCAAACTTTTAACTACCTGAATGTTCCTGGTATATATTGCACTCAATGATACAGCTCCCCATCCATAGATTCAGCTTGACTTTATATATGTACATCATGATCTCCAACTGTTTTGATTGCAAAATTATTTTTATTGATGATTGTATATTATTTTGCATATTATTAATTATATTTCTAGTGAGAGCAATGAGACTACATATGTTATATCTCCTTAGATTATTACCAATCACTTTTGTCTCAGCACAGCTGATGAATGAGTGCCCCTGAATTTACAGGTGGTGGCTCTGCCATCATCTTGTTGATTGTGTTTGCATTATTAGCATATGAAAATATAAACTGCCTACCATACACAGTTTCTTTGCAGGGATCCCGTTAGGCAATACTCTCATTTTGAGAGGATTACTTACTTAAAAGCAGATAATATAACCTGTAAATCCACATATTTGCTTTTGTAACCTGCAACACAATGCTGCAGGCAAAAACTAACAAACTACTGAAGACTCTACTACCAATCCCTTTCCTTTGAGGGATTCCCACTCAGGATACTGCAGATCTTTAAACATTAAATCTTAGTATTGCTATTTAATTGACAACGTGATCATCTAACTGCATTTTCATTTAGCACACAGGTTTGCAACTGGTTCAAAGTAATATCAGTGATGCTGTGTCAGATGCCCTGGGAAAAATCAGAGTTTGTAGAGGTTAAGACATCTGATTCTAGAGCCAGATGGTCTAGTTCAGATTCTGGCTCTATCACCTACTACAAGCTCTGTGGTTTTGAGCAAGTAACTGGACCACTCTGTGCTTCAGTTTCTTCATCTGTGAAATGGGAATAATAATAGTAAATATTTCATAGTGTCATTGTGACACTCAAATAAGTTAATATCTGTAAAGCATTTAGAACAGTTCCTGGTATATTAAGAATGCAAAAAAATTAGCAATTTTATTATGCCCTTAGCACTGAATTGGAAGACAAAAGATCTGGGTTCAGGTCCTGGCTCTGTCACTAATTAGTTCTATAACTTTAGACAAGCCATTTAACCCTTCTGAGCTTCAATTGCAAAAGGGGCTAACAATACCTGTCTTGCCAAGCTAGCAGAACTGAGATCCCAAATAAAATAGTTCGTGAAATGTGCTTTTATAAACTGTAAAGCACTGTACAAAAATAAAAGTCCTTCTTTATAATTTTATGTGTTATATCTTAATGTATTTATAATATATGAAATGTTTTATAGTATAGAAACACAAAGCAGGAACTTACACTTAGTGAACACTTTCAATATGAGTCCCAAGTGAGCTGTGCGACCTTGAATAAGTCACTGAAATGCTCTGAGCTTCTCTTCTGTGTTTTGTTTTTTGTTTTTTTTGAGACGGAGTCTCCCTCTGTCGCCCAGGCTGGAGTGCAGTGGCGTGCTATCTTGGCTTACTGCAAACTCCGCCTCCCAGGTTCACGCCATTCTCCTGCCTCAGCCCCCTGAGTAGCTGGGACCACAGGCGCCCGCCACCACGCCTGGCTAATTTTTGTGTGTGTGTTTTTAGTAGAGACGGGGTTTCACCGTGTTAGCCAGGATGGTCCCAATCTCCTGACATCGTGTTCTGCCCACCTCGGCCTCCCAAAGTGCTGGAATTACAGGCATGAGCCACCGCACCCGGCTGAGCTTCAGTTTTATTACAGGGATAATACTGGCTTCCCAGCCCACATTCCTGGGCTGGATCTGGAGAGAGTAATGAAATAAAATATAAACTTGCACAGTTGCTGTGGATTAGAGATTACATCAGATATGCATCTTGCCCAGGAATGGCTAAAGTTTTTTTTGATAAAAAACTACACAGTAAGTATTTTAGACTTTGTAAGTCATACAGTCCCTGTTACAACTACCCAACCCTGCTATAGTTGCACAAAAGCATCCACAAACAGTATGTAAACAAATGGACATGGTTATGCTCTTTTTATTATTTATTTATTTATTTAGAGATAGAGTCTCACTCTGTCGCCCAGGCTGGAGTGCAGTGGTGTGATCTCAGCTCACTGCAACCTCCGCCTGCTGGGTTCAAGCAATTCTCTTGCCTTAGCCTCCCGGGTAGCTGGGATTACAGGTGCCTGCCACCATGCCCTGCTAATTTTTGTATTTTTAGTAGAGATGGGGTTTCACCATGTTGGCCAGGCTGGTCCCAAACTCCTGATCTCAAGTGATCTGCCCACCTTGGCCTCCCAAAGTGCTGGGATTACAGGCATGAGCCACCACGCCCAGCCTGTTCTAATAAAATTTTATTTCTGTACACTGAAGTTTGATTTTTTTTCTAATTTTCATGTCATAAAGTTTTCTTCTTTTGATTTTTTTAAACCACTTAATTTACTGTTTTTAACATAAAAACAAGCAGCAAGCTGAATTTATCCTGGGGGCCATAGTTTGCAGACTCTTGGTCTAGCACAATGCCTAGCACATAGCAGATAATACTAGTTAATATTAGTCATATAACATTGCTTTATAAACTGTAAAACTTATTAGATATAATCTAGCAACTTTCTTGTTCTCCATCATGCCTTTAAAATGATCAGCTCTTGTCCCACCATCACATCTATTCTCTCTTAGTACCTTAGGAGGTAATTAATCTGGGTTTGTGGGCTTAGCATCATCTAAGGCATTGAGTTGAACGCTTAAGAAATCTTTTACTTATGTCAAATAGTAATTCCCTGTTTTTCAATCAAATAGAGTCTTTCTAAACTAAAAATGATAATAACTCATTCTAAAACTATTTTTAGAAAATAGAGAAAAGTGGGCCTAGAGCAGTGGCTCACATCTGTAATCCCAGCACTTTGGGAGGCTGAAGAGGCCAGGAGTTTGAGACCAGCATGGCCAACATGGTGAAACCCTATCTCCACTAAAAATACAAAAATTAGCCAGGCATGGTAGCAACGTGCCTGTAGTCCCTCCTACTCAGGAGACTAAGGTAGGAGAATCACTTGAACATAGGAGGCGGAGGTTGCAGTGAGCTGAGACTGTGCCATTGCACTCCAGCCTGGGGAACAGAGTGAGACTCTCACTCAAAAATAAAATAAAATAAAATAAAGTAAAAAGAACATAACCATGTCCATTTGTTTACACACTGTCTGTGGATGCTTTTTTTAATTCAAAAAAATAAACAAAAGAAATAATAAAGAGGATCTACCATAATTATACTGTCCAGATTAGTTCCTGCTTAGTTATGTTTTTCACCTCCCACTTTGAAGGCCATTTTCTTCATTTAAAAAAAGTAAAGAAATAAAGTAATGGTTAAGTAGTTATACTTTCTCTGCCATCTGTCAGCTTACACCATTTTCTTGCTCCATAGTTTTTTTTTTTTAAAAAAAAAAAACAAACTGCAATTGTTTTTGTTATCTTTAACCTCAGCTGGTTCTGTGCTTTATCTTTCCTGAGGTTTTTCCTTCATATTTGTTCTTGCCTCTTTCTGTCATCAGCATGTCTCTCAATATAGGCTCATTCTTTTCAGCCACATGTGTTTCTTTTAGTATTGTCTTCCTTATCAGCTTCATATGTGATTGTAATTTCTTATAAGCTGTTTCCCTAGCCACACTAATCTAAGGATAAAATGGAACCATATTAATAGTAATAAAGGGTTTTGTATATTAGTTTTACCCCAACCCTCTGTTGTGGTTCTAGCTACCCTCAAAGTCTCATCCAGTTGTCTCTAGGTGCCGTTAGGTTATATAACAGGTGCTTGTAAACAAGTTATAGCAGCTATTGTCTGTGTCTGCCATGATTCTCCCCCATTCTGGCCCCCTCTCGTGATGTCTGCTGCTTAAAGCTCTGCTTGCTATTAAGTCATTTGGTAGTGCCTGACCACTGCCACTGCAGCTGGTGTCCACTATTACAGTGGTGTGTCCATGCTAAGGGGTCCTGAAGCTGCAAACTATTAAAATCTCTCTCACTCTTGGAACTGGTTCCACTGCTGCAGTGTGATGAGAGCTGGCCTCTATTGTGGTCACAGACATAAGAGGTGGTCTCCACTGCAGATCCGTTGAGCATTAAAGTTGAGGAGAAGGTGGTTTTTGGAGTCTTCAACGCACTGAGGCCATGCTGCACCTCAGTGGGATCAAGCTTTTCTCCTTTTTGTGTTATCATGAGCAGAAGAGTAGCAAAATAAAATAATTTCATGATCCTAGTATCTTACATAGTTTAGTGAAATAAAGTTGTCCATTCTTATATGTCCCTCTCCTTAGTAATCTGACATGGATTTATGAAGGCTGGACCAGAGGCCAAACCTGAGAGACAGACATCACAGTGTGCTAAACACCCCTCCCCTCTGACCAGTTATTGGTCCAAACTTAAGGGCCCTGCTTTCTCTTCTTTTAGAAGAAATTCTTTCCCAGGAGACTTCCACTCATGCATGAAAACAGAGGATTCATGCCCTGTCACTACACAGGCAGATGTGTCTGAATGAATGCCAATGGTGACCAAATTTAGGTTCAAGCCAGAATCCTCCACTCCATCAGAATTCCACCCCTTCGACACTTCCATTCTTCTGCATCTGCTGTCCCTTTTTAATGGTGTTGGTCATAGGACCGCAGTTATCTTTACTCTGGGTTTTTAGAAAATCTGGGCTTTCTAAGATTTCCCATATGTTTTTGGAGCAGACATCTGTTGTTTTTACATGCCTCCTCAAGAACATTGCTCTGTCAATTCTGCTTTCACTCTCCTACATCCTCAGTTTCCCCTCCCCTCTCCATTGGATCACTCCATCAACATACAAATTCCTCCAATTAAAAAAAATCCTCCTGACCCAACATTCTTCTTCTACCTACTGTCCATTTCTCTGCTCCCTTTTATTGCAAAACATGTAGAAATAGACCGCGTGTTGTTGTTGCTTGAAATTTGCAGTCTCCAAATTCTTTTCTACTGATTCTCTCTTGACCAGACTCCAACAGTGTTTTATTCACCTTTACAACACTTAAACTGCCCATGTTAAAGCCTCCACATGGTAAAATCCAAAGGTAAGTCTTTATTTTATCTTGACTTCTCTTCACTTGACAGTGACCTCTCTCCTCTCCAGGCACTTTATTCCCTTTGCTGCCGGGACATCTCATTCTCTCAGATTGTCTCCTATTTCTTCAGCTGCTACTTCTCTCTCAGCCTCCAGCCTCCTTTGCTCATTCCTTATCATCACCCTCACATCCAAACTTTGAAACACCTCATTCTTGAAACTCTTATATTCTTATCTTCAATGCTTCTTTCTCTCTCTCTCTCTCTTCCTTCCTTCCTTTCTTTCTTTCTTTTCCTTCCTTCCTTCCTTCTTTTCTTTTTTTTTTTTAGAGACAGAATCTCACTCCATTGCTCAGACTGGAGTGTCATGGTGTGATCATAGCTCACTGCAGCGTCTAACTCTTGGGCTCAAACGATCCTCCCACCTTAGCCTCCTGAGTAGCTAGGACTACAGGTGTGTGCCACCATCCTCAGCTAATTAAAAAAAAATTGTAGAGACAGGGTTTTGCTATGCAGGGTCTTACTGTGTTGCCCAGTCTGGTCTTAAACTTCTAGGCTTAAGCAATGCTCCTGCCTCAGCCTCCCAAAGTGCTGGGACTACAGGCGTGAGCCACTGTACCTGGCCAATACTTTCTCTCCTTCAGTGATCTCATCTAATCTCATGGTTTTAAATATTACCTATATACTGATAACTCTCCAGCCAAGAACTCTTGCCTAAATTTCAGGCTCATATATTTAACTGCCTACCAACATTTCCACTTTGAGGTGTAAAAGGAATCTCAAATTTAACATGTCTAAAAATTGAACTCCTCTTCTCTTACAAAACTCTTCCTTTCACAGTTTTCCTCCATTTCAGTTAATCACATCTCCATCCTTCTAGTCACTCTTGCCAAAACCTTAGAGTCATCCTCAATTCTTTCTGCCACTTTTCCTCTCCCATAATTCAATCATGGTAGCCCTGCCTTCAAAATATGTCGAGAATCTGACTATTTTTACCAAGTCAGCTGTTATCACTTTGGTCTACACTAGCAACATCTCTAATCTGGATTATTGCACTAATCTCCTGCTTCCTCCCTCTCGCCTGCGTTTTTAAATGTCAGCTAGATTATGTCACTACCCTGCTCAAACTCTCTACCGGCTTCTCATTCCAGAGTAAAACCAAAGTCAATAGCCTACAAGGCATTTTGCAATCTTTAATCTCATCTCCTACTCTCCCTTGGCTCACTTAGCAGGGCACAAACCCATATATACCTTCTGTTCTCTCTCCCTCTTTTCCCACTTGCCTACATAGCTCATTCCCCCATCTACCTTGGCTCAAATGTCCCTTTTTCAAGGCCTTCTCCAATAACCTTACATAAAATTACAGCATCCTTCTTCCCTAGCAATTTCTATTCCTCTTCCCTGACATTGTCCTTCATAGTTCATATCACCATTTGAACTATTACATATTTTATTAATATAGCTGTTTATTATCCCCGTCCCCCAACTAGAATGCAAGGTCCAACAGAGCATGGATTTTTGTCTATGTTATTCACTGTCATATACCCAGAACCTAAAATAGGCATGCGTATAGTAAGCATTCAGTAAACATTTGTTGAATGAATGAATGAATCCCCAGCACGCCTAATTCTTATGTTAGCACCTTAATGGATAAGGGATACGCAATCTGCATGACACTGCCTCTTTTTCTTGGTGTTCTTGTAGTTTCTAGTTACTTTACTAACTTTAAAAACTCAGTTTTTCTTATTAGTAAAAGTCAAGTCTAGAATATAAAATCCCCTAATTGCTTCCTCAGTCGTCTGAGAAATGAAACTATCAAGGAAGCAAGTAAAGAACTTTTCAAATTCTTTGCTTTTAGTAGAATGAACCTATCAACAGACATTGGAATCTTTGCAGTTCCTTCTCTGGAGCTTGTATCTGTGCCGGTTTTGTAACTAGAATGAGAAAAGAAGCATCTAGAACATTTGTATGGTTGGGTGGCATGCAGCACACTACTGCAATTATATCACTTGCATTTTCCCCTTTTTAGCATGAGCATAATGATTTTCATTATTTCTATCCTTGGGTTTCTAGACCTTGTTATAGATGAACTTTATAAAGTTAGGAAACATTTATTGAATCCAACTCCATAGCTGGTAGTTTTCTAGATGCTAGGAATATAAAGATGAAATTTCATTTTATCACACAGTAGTTGAGTTAGTAAATAAAAGGGCATATCGATACATACAACTACTTGATTGGATTGATTTCCTTTGAACAAGATTTACCTTTCTGTTGACATATTTTAGTCTGTGATCACAAGTCTTGGTGGGGATGACAATAACAATGACTTCAAGTTACAAAGTTCTAACGGGCAAATATATGTAATAATTAATTTATATTAACACTTTTCCGATCAGTGATCTTTAGGTGGGCAGGAGCAAAGACTGACTGGAGTTAGCTTAAATAAAGAGGACTTACTATATATAGCAATGAAAGTGTTGTCATATCAACCCAAGAATACCCACAAGTAACTGCTATAATAGAGGGTGGCAAAGAGGAGTTCTGATTTCATGGCATTTCTGGTGACCTCAACAGGAGGAATTCATTAACCATGACCTGTTTGCATCATTGTTCATTATCACGACTCAGTGGTATTCCACATGCCTGCTTCTTTCTCTTGTCATCTGGTCAAATGGCCATTCCTGGTCCAAGCGGCCACTCCTGGTCCAAGCGGCCAAGGCCAGATTCGCAAAAGCAGGATGTAAATGGCAGTTGGTGCTCAGTGTGGCAAAGACTATTGGGAGTGGCAGAGACTAGGAGGAATTTGAGGGAACATGAAGCCTTATCTAAAAGGGACTACCAATTGTTGCCATGTGGGAATATGAATCTATTTTTTAACTACTTGATTTTTCACATGAAGATGGAAATCCTGAGTGAAATATCTTAATATTTAAAAAATGGCAACTAAGTAAAATACAAATAAAACAAAACAAAGAAACCTGCACAGACAAACCCTGTGCAGGTCTGTGCAACAAAAAGTTGAGGTAGCAGCCCTAACTGCTTATCCTTGGAAAGGCCTGCTTACAAAGCCGGCCCTTGGCTGGCATCTGGGAACTTGGATTTCAGGAGGGTTCCCACCATTCCCAGAACTGGTAAGAGTGACTCGCTGTGCCTAAACTTTTTGTGTAGACAACATGTTTATGCTGACTACTGGCTTTCCTTCTAGGACTCTGAAATTTGAGTATGTGCCTAGCAGAGGCTGCCTATATGACTAGGCCCCAATAAAATCCCTGAGCTCTGAGTCTGTAATGAATTTCCTGGTTGGCATCATTTCACATGTTTTATCACAACTCATTACTGGGGCAATTGAGCACATCCTGTGTGAACTCCATGGGAGATGACCCTTGAAAGTCTGTGGCTGGTATATCCTGGATTTTGACCCATGTGCCTTTTTCCTTGCTGATTTTGCTTTGTATCCTTTTGCCAATCATAATCATGAGTATTACTATATGTGAGTCCTATAAGTCCTCCTAGTGAATCATCAAACTTGGGGCTGGTCTTGGGGACCCTAACTCAAGGCAAAATAAAACATATCTTTGAACCAAATTCAGCCAATAGTTTCACCTTTCAACCTCTAACCTAAGACACGGGCAGAACAGTTGCCAGGCATAAATGGAGCATTTTCATATGTGTCATCGTATTTAGTCTTCACAGTAACCCTGCAAAATGAACCATTTTATAACCTCATGTATAAGTGAGGAAATACACTCAGAGGGCTTAACCTTGCACAAGGTCATATCACCTGTAGGTGGAAGAGGCAGGAGTCAGAGTTAAATCCAACTTTATTTTCATATTGCCTGTATATGAAATTATATTTCCTCCCTTATGTGAAAATTTCAGAATCATTTTGTTTATTTTCTATTTCCTATGCACAGTATTTACATCTCTGGAGCTCAAAGTATTCTTATCACTCCTCATCCTTGTAATATTTGCCTTTTTCTTATTCCCTTCCAATCTTACCTTCCTATCAGCTATGAATGAGGTTTTCTGAGCCAGTAGGGAAACAAACAAAAACAAAAACAAAAACAAAAACAAAAAAAAAGGAAGGTAAGTATGGGCACAGGCAAGGGAAGGGAAGGATTATAAAAGACAGCAACTGGGCCTGCCTCTGCTAGGGATGGTCAGTGGTCCCAACAGGAGGGTCTAAAGTGGAGTGGAGGCTGGGTGTACAGGGTGGCTCACATCTTTAATTCCAGCACTTTGGGAGGCTGAGGCAGGATAATCACTTGAGGCTAAGAGTTTGAGACAGCCTGGACAACATAGCAAGACCCCATTTCTACAAAAAGATTAAAAATTAGCCAGACATGGTGGTGCCTGCCTGTAGTCCTAGCTACTTGGGAGGCTGAGGTGGGAGGACTGCTTGAGCCCAGGAATCAAAAGTTACAGTGAGCTATGATCATGCCACTGGCCTCCAGCCTAGGCAACAGAGCAAGACCCTGTCTCAAAAAAAAAAATGAAAATAAATAAAAAAATAAATAAAGTGGCATGGGGAATACCAGGTGAATCTAAGCTGTAGCAGTAGTACTTATAGTCAGAGAAGCAGTAATAATCTTTCCAGAAGGATCCATGGGGTTTGAAGCAGGATCTCATTCAGTATATGGCGGACAGTAGCATAGTTCAGGTAACAGGATAAGAGGGTGAGAAATGGATAGGCAGGCTGTCAAGGGCCTATCTGGGGGTGAGTGCAGAGCTATACTCTCAGGAAAAAGTGGCATGAAAACCTGGAAGCTGGATAGAAGCCCTACTCTAAGATCTGAACTTGCAGAGTCAGAAGTTTGGAAGGGAAAGTGCAGCTTGATGGCTGAGCAAGTACTCGAGAGTTCCCCCCGGTCCACTGAATATTAAACTTAGAACAGCATGACCAGTACGAGCCTCTTTCTTCAAACATTTTGTATATCTTGAGTGGCTTTCTAGGTAATGATGGAACTGAATTCATAAAGCGGAAGGTCTTTCTTTGTTTCCTGTGTCTGGGCTGAGCTGAACACGTTTGAGACTGACACTTCTTGCTGAAGGAACACACCAGAATAGGTTTGCCTAGCTTTGCAATATTTATTACTGTTTTAGATTTCCCTCACAATACATCTCTGAAAAGACTCAGTGAACTAAATGATACTCAGAAAGATAGCATTTCAGTGAACTCTTGAGGTTACATTTAAAACAGTCACATTATCAATGTAAGTAATTATTCCCAATTATTCCCATACCAATCTGTCTTACAGATATTTTAATACTAGGTGGTCTCTGAGTTATAAACATCAGGCTTATGAGCATCCCATGCAATTCCGCGTCCACTAATATCTTTTGAATTTCTACTATGTGTGCCTCATGGTCATTATGCAGAGTCATAATAATTGACATTTATTGAACACTTACTCTGCAATCTGCACTGTTGCACTGACATGCATTAATTCATTGTTCTCACAATAATGCTATGAGGTAGGCATTATTATTGTATCCATTTTCAGGTAAGAGTCCAAGGCACAGAAAGGTTCAGTACAACTTTTAGTTGTACCTAGAAGTGTGCCTCACTTCAAACAATGAACAATTTAGAAAGAGAGATAAGACATATTGAAATGTAAACAACCAGTCACCTGCCTCTCCTGCACTTTCACCCAAAGTTTGTTTTGATCCAGATCTATTTTTACCCTTTGTTCCATTTGGCATCCAAGCTACTCTAGTGCCACCTGCTGACCAGAATGGGGAACTGTCTGACCTAGTACCTTCCCTATAATCATTTCTTCGAGTAGGATTCTGTCATACACTCCATTTTATTTCTAGCTTTAAAATGTCCACTTTATACCATATAACACTTAACATGTATAATTTATATCTGAAGAATAGATAGCCTGTGATGCTGATCTATGTTAAAACACTCTGAGAAATGTAGTACAATTTTTTACATCTCTGGGTTTCTCTAGAAAAGGGTATCACAATGCAGAACTATGGGTATCATTACTACACTTTGCATAAGATACAAGGGAACTATGATAAACTTCAGAAAGTAGTGAACTCACCTATTCCTTAAAATATGAGTAGGCAATTGTTACAAAGCAATAGTAAACGGCTTATAAAGTATAAGTTTATTTTATGCTTCTCTGCTATTACACAGGGCACAACATTTTTGCAAGGCTTTTTTGGGACCACAGTGCATTAGCAACAAAAAACGCTGGTCCAACTCTGAGTAGCAGTCACTAAATGAAACGGATACCCTCTCACATGTGCACAAATCTGCATAGAAAAGTACTAAAGTTTTAGAATTGGACTTGTGTAATGTATTTCTGCTTTCTAGGGTATTAAGTAATGATATGCACTTTAATTTACCTAAAGCAATGCATGTATCTTCGCAGCAACATGATACTTCTATTAAACAGTTAAGGTGAATACTGGAAGTAAAAGACAAGAGGTGTACATGAATTTTTATTGGGAAGGGAAGTTGTCAACTTAAACAGTAGCAAATGAAAACCTTGTTGTTATGGATATACGTGACCTCCATAAACTATTATATAGGAGACATTTCAATTTCCCCCCCAGGCCAGAAAAGTTCCATACCGAAAGGAAACCCTTGAAGAAGAGTAAGGGAGGGAATAAAGAAATCAAGAAGTTACATAGGGAATACTCTCGAATTGTAATTAACTGTATTTTCAGATCTTTAGGGTGGTACAAAACATAATTGCTTGCAGCATTAGTTCAGATTACTTAAATATCAAGTACATTTTTAGTCCACTATATAAGTGGAAGTTACTAATATTTTATATGAAATGAAGCCAGTAATACTTTTCTATAGCAGTAACTGTACACCAGGAGGGCCAGGACAAACGAAAGAAATGGAGTTTTCCCAAAGCTGCATTGTGAAAAGACTGTAAATGGGTTGATCCCATACGCATGAATGAATTTCTTTTTTTTTTTTTTTGAGATGGAGTCTCACTCTGTCGCCCAGGCTGGAGTGCAGTGGCGCTATCTCAGCTCACTGTAACCTCTGCTGCCTGGGTTCAAGCGATTCTCCTGCCTCAGCCTACCGAGCAGCTGGGATTACAGGTGCCTGCCACCGCACCCAGCTAATTTTTGTAGTTTTAGAAGAGACGGGGTTTCACCATGTTGGCCAGGCTGGTCTCAAACTCCTGACCTCGTAATCGGCCTGCCTCAGCCTCCCAAAGTGCTGGGATTATAGGCATGAGCCACCGCGCCCGGCCATCATGAATGGGTTTCTTTGCTACAGGAAATCCAAGTGGAAAAGGCAATGGAGATGTGTACAAAAG
Organism: Homo sapiens; assembly: GCF_000001405.40. NCBI lineage: Eukaryota > Metazoa > Chordata > Mammalia > Primates > Hominidae > Homo > Homo sapiens. The sequence continues at coordinate 76,620,102 of NC_000012.12, read as the reverse complement.
TTTCTTGAAGGGAAGAAAGATTACGCCTTGTATGCATTTACTTTTCTGTCTCTTGGCTGCCACATCACATTTTTCTCTTGCACTGTCTAATGGCCATAATGTTAGGTTGTCTCTATAAGCAACTGCATGATAAGGGTGCTGTCTTTGAATCTTCACTCAGTGTATCAAGTTCTTCTATGGCCTATCAAAAGTGGTTTTAGTCAGTTCGCAGGCAAGCTCTGGGTTATTAAGGATCTCATAGTAAAGTACAGAAATGTTAAGACATGTATATGGATTACATCTCTTTACTATATCAAATGCCTCTTAGGAAGCTCTTTGGGAATTATCTATCATTTGTTTCAACCATCACCACGTGCAACAAAGGTACTGGAAGTAATCTCCCTTTATTTTTGATAAAAGATCGTACTCGCTAGATTAGTTGCATTGGATAGTAAATAGTTATCCAAAAATTGCAGGACAGTAATGCATACGGATCTCAGTTCAGACTTGACTTTCTCCTGATAGTTTTCTGTTGTTTTTTGGTTTGTTTTTTGTTTTTTCTCAGTGATGTGAAGCTCACTCCCAATAGTTCTTGATCAGCTGCAACTTCTTGTCAGAGGTGTTGGTTTTTCTGCTCAATGCTCAAGAGACCCTCCAGGTGGACCTGTAGCCTTCAACAATGTTTTTGTAGGCCACAGAGAGTGAGTTGTGCTCCTCTTTGGACAGCTCTGCAACCTGCTAGGAGAGCCTTCACAATGCAGGTAAAATCAATGATAGCAAAACCCTTGAATCCAAAGTGTTTGCAAGTACTCAAAGCCCCCCTCAGAATCACCATGAAGTCCTCACTTACCACCTTCATTCTTTTCCACTTAAATCTGTGTTTCTATAAGTATCAAGATTTGTGATAAAGATTTCTTTTGCACCGATCCTCGAGATATTAGAGTTGGAATGAGATTTAGAGATCATTTAGAGTTCAAGTTCAACATTTTGTTTACAGTTCTCTGCTGTTTGATGCCCCAAATCTATTTCACAGGAAGCCATTTGCTGATCACCTGGCTTGACCTCTTTCCTGATTCTTCATTTTTCTCCAGTCTACTGGGAATTTTCCCCTGCTCTTATTATAAAGAAAGGCCTGTGTTTGTAGCCGATGTGGGCTCCCTCAATAATTGGGCATGACACATTTCTATTCCCTCTGGTAGGTCTCACTCCTCCCCACTATGAGATGGGTTAACTGCTGCATTTCTGTGGCCTCAAGTTCCCCTCGTCTTGTCACACTAGGGACCCTGAGACACAAAGGGCTGCACAGCTGTCAGCTGATTTGAGCTTGGGGCTTCAGTGGCCTTTCAGAGTTTTCCCAATGACTGCCCTCCAAGTGGTTTCTACAAAGAAGAAAACAGTTTCTCCTTTGTTGAAGGCTTCCTCCTCCTGTCCCATTATTTCCATCTATGGCGGAGCCAGGGGGTACCTGGGGACTGTTGGCTCCATAATTTTATTAGTGCCCTCTCCCCAGTTCTTTGATATTGACCTTTGACATTCACTCAGTCTGATGTAAAGTACTTTGCAAAATCAGCTTTAAGGCCCCCCTTCTAACAAATATCTCTCCTCAAATCCAACCTAAGTAGGACTTCTGGAGATATAGCCTCTTGGAGATAATTTAAGCAGGGGAATGTTTCAAAGTAGAATGTTTGCTGTCTTTCCTGATGCCCACCCTTTCTTTGAAGGCTTCGTTCCTCTAAACTGGATAGAATTAGAAGTGCTTCAGTCTTATCTCTAGTTTTCATTGTGTCCAGGAGCAAGAGAGTCCTGCATCAGAACGCTGCTTCTCTTTTAGGTCACTTCACGTGATGTTCTTTGTGGATGATCATCTTTGTGGATGATGTTGATGAGTTAGTAGCATGAGGTTAGAGCCTTTCTTAGTTTCACTGTAGACAGTTTCCTTCTATAATTAGCTTCTTTCAGTTCGTTTTAGTGGGTATAGGAATAGGAAAGACTTTTTAAAAGTCTTCCTACGCTTTCATTTACAGATGAAGAAACTGTGGGATGGAGAGGTAAAATGATCTGGTCAGATTCACACAACCAGAGAGTAGCCGAGCAGAGGACTGAACCTGGGGCTACTGTTTCATTGACAAACACTATTTTCCTATTCTGCTTAATAGCCAATATTATACCAGTTTTTTTAAACTGCCTTTCTATTTTAAAATATTTAATTTTTCAGTTGCATTATGCATTCATTTGGTGGACTCACCTCAGAAGTAAACTGTTTAAATCAAGTTTTTATGGGAAAATGCACTTCTAAATTCAAATAGTCAATTTCCTTATGAATCTTTGAAACAGCATGTAACTCCTTGCAAAGATTTCAGGGTATCAGTTGAACACTGTAAAATTTTTATGTAGAAACAAAGTAATTCCAGGCACTTCTGCTGAAGGGACAGTCCATGCACAACAGGTGAGGGGATTTAGTGGTAACCAGTTGGGTTAGAAAAATGGACACATTGTCAGCACACAGTCTTGGTTGGTGCAGTGTTCAGATCCATACTTTGGGTCATAAATTACTTATCTCAATATGCTCTTTTAATTATGTTCTCCTTACTCCTCTTTTGTTGTAGCACCTACCTTCTGTCAGGAGTGGTATTAAAGTTGCAAACAAATTTTTGTCAGAACATTTGGAACATTAAGTTATATGAATGCTAATTCATATGTTATATGAATGCTAATTAATAATAACAAAGAGGCCAGGCATGGTGGCTCACTCCTGTAAGCCTGTAATCACAGCACTTTGGGAGGCTAAGGCAGTAGGATCACTTGAGCCCAGTTTGAGACTACCCTGAGCAACATGGAGAAACCCGAAACCCTGTCTCTACAAAAAATATGAGAATTAGCCAGGTATGATGGCAAGTGCCTGTAATCTCAGCTACTCAGGATGCTAAGGTGGGAGGATCACTCGAGCCTGGGAGGTCAAGGTTGCAGTGAACTGTGGTTGCGCCACTGCACTCCAGCCTGGGTGACAGAGCAAGACCCTGTCTCAAAAGATAATGATAACAAAAATAATAATAACGAAGACAAAAGTTCCCAAGTTGGAAAATATTTCCTTAATGAATTGCTGTAGAAATGAGGGGGGCAAGCCCATCTTCAACCACTTCAGAGCTTCCATAAAAATAATAGTAAGAAGAAGAGCTACCATTTACTAAGTGTTTACTTTGTGCCAGCCATTACTCTGAGTATTTTACAAACATGTTATTTGATGAGGTAGGCATAACTTTCCTAGAGAGGAAACACACAACCTTTCCTGAGAGAGGTCACACAGCCAGCAGGAAGAAGACCTAAACTTTAAATCCAGGTTGGTCCTATGGCAAGGCTGAACATTTAACCATCACCCATCCTAAAATGTGATGCTTTCTCATTCCTAAACCCCAGGCCCATATGCTTTGTATTCTTTCCAAATGTGTTTCTCCGTCTTCCGGAAAGGTAGAGCTTGGCTATTGGAACTCCGTGTCTTTTTACCTTTCAGAGTAGGACATACATCAGTGCCACTCATTCTCATTCCTTCACTTTCTGTTATTCATGCTTTTCTTATTTATGCTTTTCTTATTTCCATTGTGAGTCTAGATCTGGTTGTTCCATTTCTGCCTGAAGGGCCCTCTCCTAACCCCCTCCATTCCATCTCTCCAGCTGAGCCACTCTCATCAAGGGAAAGCTTAAAGACTACATCACCCAGCAGAGGTTTTTGACCAAACATTCCCGAGGCTTCCCTTTCCTTCAGCACTTATTGAGAGTATAGACCTGTGCCTGTCCTTTTCCTGTGTGTATAGTTATATTGTTTCACTTAAACCAGCAACTCATTGAAAATAATTATTATTATATTATTGAGTTTTTTGGATAAACTCAAAATAGTAGTTTTAGTAAAAACATTTATGATTATTAAAAATAAGTGATGTGTATTTATTCTGCATAAACTTGTTAGAGTTCACATTTTTTTGTTAGTTTATTTGGAGACAGAGTCTTGCTCTGTCGCCCAGGCTGGAGTGCAGTGGCATGATCTCGGCTAACTGCAACCTCCGCCTCCCAGGTTCAAGTGATTCTCCTGCCTCAACCTCCCAAGTAGCTGGGACTACAGGCACATGCCGCCACGCCCAGCTAATTTTTTGTATTTTAGTAGAGATGGGGTTTCACCGTGTTGCCCAGGCTGGTCTCAAACTCCTGAACTCAGGCAATCTGCCCGCCTTGGCCTCCCAAAGTGCTAGGATTACAGGCGTGAGCCACCGCGCCTGGCCTAGAGTTCACATTTTTAAAAAAATGAATTGAAATTTAAGGAGAAGGTCAATTAAATAATAGAGACTTCTTTTCCAAGAGTAATTAGCCATTGCATCAGATAGGAGATTGGACTAGATAGCTTTTGAGGTTCATTGGAGGCCTATGATTCCACCATCACCCTAGTACCAACTGAGTGGTAGAATGTAGTGGGACAGCAGCAGGACCAAGAACGGTGATTTCAAAGGGCAAAGAGACATAAATAGTGAGTGAGAGCCAGAGTCTGAAATATGAAACAAAGCAGAGATGGAAAGACAAACAGCCACATTTTAATCAAAATAGCCAAACTCATGTGAAATCCATAGCACTGAATCTTCAGAATCCAAAAACAATCCATGTATTTGTCCGTTTTTGCATTGCTATAAAGAACTACTTGAGACTGGGTAATTTGTAATGAAAAGAGGTTTAATCGACCCATGGTTCCACAGGCTGTATAGAAGCATGGCTGGGGAGGCCTCAGGAAACTTACAATCATGGCATAAGGCAAACAGGAAGCAGGCATATCTTACGCAGCTGGAGAAAGAGAACAAGAGAGTAGGGTGAGGGGCTACATACTTTTAAACAACCAGATCTCATGAGAACTCACTCACTATCATGAGAACAGCAAAGGGGAAATCCAACCCCATGATCCAATCACCTCTCACCAAGACCCTCCTCCAACACTGAGGATGACAATTTGACATGAGATTTGGGCGGGGACACAAATTTCAAACCATAAAAATCCAATATAATTTTCTTTTTAATCTAGGCAGTCTCATTATTTTATGTTTCCAAATAAGACCCAGGAACACTGATAGTTTACAGATCCAAGAATCTTTTGAGAATTTTTACTTGGTTTGGTTTTGCAGATTAAGAGGTAAGTTCTTATTTTCATTGTTGTTTGCTGTTTCACTAGAGAAAACTATGTCAAATAACCCTTATGAATGCAATTAAAAATAAAAGCACTGTTGGCAGCAATATGGCAGTGTAGTGTTAACATAGTACCAACACAACAAATTATGGAATCATTCCATTTGGTTCCACAAGCTTTGATGATAGGCCAGATTAAAAATCTAACTCAAATAATAATAGAAAGGAAAAGGAAGCCTAAGAGAAGAAAAAGCAGATATTAGCTATTAAACAGAGTGTCACAGTAAAGTAAGTGTACTTCATCCTCTCTCTCCCACTGAATGCAGCTAAAAACTCTGGAAAGAATGCACAGAGCAGTTATCTAAGGACTCTGGAAAGTGTATGGTCATGACAGACTAGGGAAGGAAACCAGAACTTGAAGTACTGCCGAACTGGTGGCAAGCTTTCTGTTATCCCTCCTCCAGTATCTCCTGTCCTGGACTCAAAGGCAGTCTGAAATCTGGAACCGCACAATGGGTGCAGAAAGAAAGTACTCCAAGAGGAGTCCTCTAATTTGGTCCACAGAGTGGAAAAGAGGGTCCTTATGGGTCAGAGATAGTAGAGAAAATTTTCTGGTTTTTTTGCCCCCATTTTTCATTCTCTCTTGTACCGTCCCCTGGCAATCTTGTAACAAGAAAAGCAGCCAGGCTGGTGTCTAAAACTCCAAGAGAATTATTTAGTGTGATCAAAGGAACTATAGTCTCAAGAATGTAAGACTATATATTTGGATTTCTCTATATCTCTATTTTTCTTTATATATTTCCTCACTGCTTAGCCCCAAATGGAAATGCTGTGCACGGCAGGGCAAGGAATCAAAAGCCCTGGATTTCTAGCCAGTGAACCAGGAAGGGGTTATGCTAGGAGCTTGAAAGTATCAAGGTGATTGTGAAAATAACAAAGTTCAAGAAAATAATCCTATAAAATTGTACAAACTTCTGGGCTAACCCCCAAGGTGCACATGCATAAATCTGACCCTAAATAGCATACTAAAGGATTTGATAACTGAATTATAGGGTAGGCCACTACACAAGTCCAAGACTGGCTATGGGGTGGCCCAGACCTGGGACAAATCCAAATAGCACTGTAAAGATATGAAAATGGAACTGAATTAGAACTATAGCCCACAGAAGGATAGTAGGAACTTGTAGTCTAAACCTAACTGGGTTGATTAACTACAAAAATTGTTTTAAAAATCCATTTCATAGGATTTAAAGGGTTGATTAACTACAAAAATAAAAAAAATCTATTTCATATGATTTAAACAGGATTCAGAGTCACATAAATTAATAGTCAAGATGTTCAATATATAATCCAAAATTACTTAGCACATGAAGAATCAGGCAAATCTCAACATTTCACAAGAGAGAAGACAATTAATAGTTGTTAACTCCAAGATTATATAGATGTTAGAATTCTCAGACAGCTTTTATAACCACACTTCAAGAGATGAGGACAAACACTCTTTGAAAAAAAATAATGTCAACTTTTATTTTAGATTCAGAGGGTACATATACAGGCTTGTTATCTGCATATACTGTGTGATACTGAGGTTTGGGGTACAACTGATCATGTCACCCAAGTCCTAAGCATAGTACCCAATAGTTTTTTAACACGTATCCCCCTCCATCTCTTGCCCCTCTAATAGTCCCCAATGTCTATGTTGCCATCTTTATGTCCATGAGTACCACTGTTGAGCTTCCACTTACAAATGAGAATATGCAGTAATTGCTTTTCTGTTCCTGCATTAATTTGCTTAGGATAATGGCCTCTATCTGTATCCATGTTGCTGCAAAGAACACGATTTAATTATTTTTTATGTCTGCGTAGCATTCCATGGTGTACCACATTTTCTTTAGCAAATTCATAAACTCCCTCCCTTTAAACCAGTGGAAAGATATAAGGTCTTCAAAGAGGAATAGAAGATATAAAAATAAAAACACATAAAAAAACACACTAAATGGAAATTTTAGATATGCAAAACAAAATAAAATTTAAAATTCACTAGATGGCTTCCATAGCAGAATGGAGATGACAGAGGAAAAACTCAGTGAATTTGAAGATAGGTGAATTGAAATTACTCTCTCTGAACAATGTAGAGGAAAAGTTTTTTTAAAAAATTAACAATACTTCAAGGACCTGTGAAACAATACCAAAGTTATAATGTTTATATCATTATAATATTAGAAGGAGAGAAGGAAGGGTGTGACACAGAAAAAAAATATTTCAATAGAAGTTGAAAACTTCCTAGATTTGGTAAAAGATATAAAGGTGCGGATAAAGGAATCTAAGAAAACCTCAAACAAGATGAACTAAAATAAATAAATAAATAAATAAATAAATAAATAAAAGATAAAAAGTCATGCCTAGAGACATCATAATCATGCTGCTGAAAGTAGCCAGAGGAAAAAGGATACATCTAAGTGGAGGATCAGTAAGTTTAATGATTGCATATTTCTCATCAGAAATCATGGAAGCTAGAAGGAAGTAGAATGACATTTTTCAAAGGGGTTAAAGAAGAGAACTGTCAATTCAGAATTCTAAATCAAGTGAAAATATACCTTGGGGATGACAATAAAATAGAGATATTCTCAGATGAAGCAAAACTTCTAGCATTCTTTGCCAGAGCGCCTGCTCTGAAATCATGGAAGCTAGAAGGAAGTAGAATGACGTTTTTCAAAGGGGTAAAAGATGAGAACTGTCAACTCAGAATTCTAAATCAAGTGAAAATATACCTTGGGGATGACAATAAAACAGAGATATTCTCAGATGAAGCAAAATTTATAGCATTCTTTGCCAGAGCACCTGCTCTAAAAGGAATACTAAAAGAAGTTCTTCACATGAGAGTACAATGATACCATAGCAAAACCTGGAACCTCAGAAATGAAGAAGGGAAAATAGTCCATTATATTTACTTAGTTGTCTACTTTCTCCTCTTCAGTTATTTTAAATATCTATGACAGTCAAAAATAAAAAATATACAACATTGTCTGATACTCCTAGAACTTTGCCTCATCAGTATCTCAGATCTGGGCAGGCTTATGACTTGCTTGTAACCAGTAGGATGCAGCAGAAGTGACACTATATGACTTCTGAAGCTGAGTCATTAAACGTTACGCAGCTTCTGTCTTTTTGGCTGGAACACTCTGTTTTGTAACCCTGAACTGCCATATGAGAAATCCAAATACCCTAAGGCCATGATGATGTGAGAACACCCAAACTAACTCATGCAGAAAGACCAAATGGAGAAAGTCAGAGGCTATGTGAAGAGAGAGAAATGTCTACACAGCCCACAGCTGCTTTAGTCCTCCCTGTTCCCTGCTCCAGTCTGCTCTTACAGTTTCAATCACTGTGAGCCCACATTAGCATGAGAAACCTTGGTGTTACCCAGGCCTGGACTACATATCATACAAAAACCCCTAGAACCAGGCAAACCTCTAAAATCCAGAAGATACCACTCAAACATATCAGACAAAATAAATATTATTTGGACATGCACCCAGAAATGAGTTTGCTTTCTTCACAAAATGAAATTTTGCAGAGTTTTCCACTTCCCCAAGAGAACATAAAAATCAAATTAGTTTTTCTTCAAGTAGCACTGATGCCCAGCCCCTGAGAATCCTCACACACAGCAAGCCTATGTTACAGAAATGAAAACACTCATCTTTTAAATATGGTGTGGGAAAGAATAGGAAATAAGGACTCATGGAATTTAAATGCATTTCCCAGTATTAGGGATCAGTTAATGAAAATAAATTGTATGACAGCAATAGGATGGGAAGCAATAAGAATGGGAAGTAGTTACAACCCCAACTGATTCTAGTTAATGAGACAAAAACTCTCACCTACCTGTTTGAAAAAGGAGACCAAGAGAATCATGAATGTGCTCTTCATTTGACCATAAAGCAGAGGGAAAGGCCATTTTAAACTTCTCTTCTGGCTTAACAAAGAAATCTGGCAAACATGTAATTGCCTTTTAAATAGTGGAGATGTCAGTTTGAATACAATTACTAGGGAAACAAGTTCTAAGATAACCAATTAGAATTGCAGACTGCCAGAGGATATAGAGAAACTTCAGAGGACATAGCCACTCTGAAAAGACTCCTTTGTACAAATATCTTTCACAGAGAGTTTTTAATAACAGAAAGGAGAACAGGGTTATACATTTTTACAAGTGTCTCCAAACTGAACAGAATATTAAGACCGGGACTTTTGTGAACGTCCTCGATTCATCCCTTTATCAGAAATACCTTAATGCTGCTAAATAGTGTCTGCTTCTCTGCTAGGGAAGAAAGAACTTCCCCTCCTCCTCCTCCTCTTTGTCTTTCTGAGATTTCTCATGGGTAGTTGGAGAGAAATTGGCAGGCCTGAGAAGCCTAAAACTTACTTTTAAAAAAGTATATTTGTTAGAACATTTCATGGCAAGTGATAGAGACTGTTGACAAAAGGAGTCAAACTCTGTACAATATTTTAAAGAGATTTATTCTGGGCCAAACATGAGTGACCATGGCCTATGACACAGCCCTCAGAAGATCCTGAGATCATGTGCCCAAAGTGATTAGGGCACAGCCTGGTTTTATACAATTTGGGGAGACATGAGACATCAATCAAATACATTTAAAATGTACATTGGTTTGGTTCAGAAGGGTGGGACAACTTGGAGGGTTGTGGGGTGGGGGGCGGGGGGTTGGGAGGAGCGTCTAGGCTATTGGTAAATTTAAACATTTTCTGATTGACAGTTGGTTGAGTTTGTCTAAGGACCTGGGATCGGTAGAAAGGAAATGTTTGGGTTGGCTTGTGGAGACCACAGTTTTTTTTTGTTTTTTTGTTTTTTGAGATAGGGTCTCGCTCTGTCGCCCAGGCTGGAGTGCAGTGGCAAGATCTCAGCTCACTGCAACCTCTACCTCCCAGGTTCAAGTGATTCTCCCACCTCAGCTGCCTGGGTAGGTGAAACTATAGGCGCCAGCCACCATGCCCAGCTAATTTTTGTATTTTTATTGGAGACGGGGTTCCAGGTTGGTCTCAAACACCTGACCTCAGGTGATCTGCCCGCCTTGGCCTCCCAAAGTGATGCGATTACAGTGTGAGCCACTGCACCTGGCAGTGTAGAGACCAAAGTTTTTTTTTTTTTTTTTGAGACAGAGTCTTGCTCCGTCGCCCAGGCTGGAGTGCAGTGGCGCGATCTCGGCTCACCGCAAGCTCCACCTCCTGGGTTCACGCCATTCTCCTGCCTCAGCCTCCTGAGTAGCTGGGACTACAGGCGCCCGCCACCACGCCTGGCTAATTTTTTTTGTATTTTTAGTAGAGACGGGGTTTCACCGTGTTAGCCAGGATGGTCTCCATCTCCTGACCTCGTGATCCACCTGCCTCGGCCTCCCAAAGTGTTGGGATTACAGGCGTGAGCCACTGCGTCTGGCCAGAGACCAAAGTTTTATTGTGTAGAGGAAGCTTTTAGCTAGCAGGCTTCAGAGAGAAGAGGCTGTACAATGTTTTCTTATCGGATTTAAAAGGATGCCTGACTCTTAGTTGATTATCTCCTGGATCTGGAAAGAAAAAAAAAAGGGCAGGGAAAGGCGGTTCTCTACAGAATGTGGATTTTTCCCAAAAGAGACAACTTTGCAGGGCCATTTCAAGAATATGACAAGGAAATACACTTGGGTTTTAAAATATTTTGATTTATTTCCTTGTTATGTGATGTTATGCCAGAGTCAGGTGAGAAAGAAGGTCAGATTATAGAGGGTTAAATAAAACCTCTCTGATGAGACTTTATGGTTTGCAGGGTGTGTCTCCCCCAGGCCCCTTAGGTAGGAATTTGGGCAATATAAGAAAAAAAAAGTCAGTGTTTAGTCTTCAAGACCCAAATGAGCTAGACTGGTGGGGAATGGGGGATTTATAATAAGTAATGAGTTTGCCTCACAGAACCCAAGGACAGAGATACAGCAGGACTTCAATGGCCAGCTGGAAGCAAGGCCCCACACACCATCAGGAAACCAAGAGGCCCTCCTTCGCAGGCCTCAGCTTCCCCTCCAAGTCTCCTTCATTCTTCAGTCTCTGCACACTGTCTCTCCCTGTTTTTCGGGACATGGAGCAGAAAGTATTAACCATCAACAACTCCCACACTAGATTATATCTCCTATGTTTGAAAGAGTTGAAATCTTTGGTCTCAATTCCAAATCTCAAAGGAAGGAGTCTCATTGGCCCAGTTTGGTCCCCAGCATGTCCCTAGAATGAATGTCTATCCCTAAGAGGAGAGAAGAGTGTCACAGTTGAGGAAGACTGTATCTTCATATGGATTGAGGAGGTGAGCTCCAAATTCCCAGAACACAGAGAAAGAGGACATTTCCTAGCAAATCAGAAGACTTGGTCCAAAAGATGTTCTATGGATGCCTCTCTAATTAATAAGCAGATTCTTTAAAAAATGATTCTACCTTAGTTGACTGCATTTATGCCTTTCATGAATAAAGTCACCCTATTCCATCGGAAATATAATGTACTCTTGATAGATTCAGGAGGCAGATGAGGGAGGGTACTCAGAGAATCTCCAACTCACCCCACAAGTGTTTACATCAGATGCTTTTCGTGCATATGAGAGAACCTGCCCAGGGCCTTGTCTGGGCATGCCCACATCTGACTGGGGGACCGCCCGCGCACTGGGAGAGTGGGGTGGAGCCACCGGGAATTCGCACCTTGAGCACGGCAGAGGAGCCTAGCCTCTTCACCTCGTGTGTGCTGGCCGGGCATTCAGTCTGTCAGTTGGGAGCCTGTTGGCAGGCCCCCTTTTCTTCACTGAGAGCTTTCTTTTAATAAATTTCACTCTCCTCACCTTTCAATGTGTCCACATGCTTAATTTTTCGTGGTCATGTGACAAGAACCTGGATTTTAGCTGAATTAGGGAGCAAAAAATCCTGCATCACTCTGTATCAGTATATTTCAGGTTTATTATCAGTACTTATTTGTGATGGTTGGCGTTTTCAAGGCAGTATTTATAGCCTCACTCAAATAAATTCATGTTCCCATTTCAACTGATTGATTTGGAAGAAAGGCTCACATGCTTATGTGTCATTCTGACCCACGTGAACTCTTCACTAAAAAAGTTAAAAGTGTTTCAAGCTAATAAACACTAAGAAGCAATGATCTTTTCTTGCTTTATTGGGGGAATGAAAGGAGGGGAATCAAGAGAGAAGAGGCATTTTTCAATTTACCAAGGTTTGAGCATGTATATTTAATTTTTACCTGAGTGATCTATTTTCTTCTACTTATTATAGTAATCTATTTTCTTAATTTCAAAAATATGAAATAAAAGTCATTTAGGAAACATTCAGTAAAAAGTTGCTGTTGCCTAGCTTTTCCATACCTGGAGAGTTTGGAATTTCTAGCAGAATACAAAGAATGGGAGAAATTTTGATTGCCCAAGAAAATGGCCATTCATTCATTCAATCAACAAATATGTATTAATCTCATGCTATTGCCTGGTGCTTGGCATACAGTGATCAGTGAAATAGACAAACTCTCAGCATTTCTGGAGATTACATTCTAGGAGGAGAGATGGCAAATAAACAAACAAATACATGAAATTGTGTCATGTGGTGATAATCAATATAAAGGAAAATAAAAAATAGTATAAAAAGAGAGAGTGAAAAGGGTGCTAGGTTAACCATCGTGAGCAATCAAGGAAGCCTCTTTGGAAAGGTGATACATGGGTAAAACGATAAACCAAAGGAGAGTCCACCATGCTAATATTTGAGAGATAAGGGCCTTTGAAACTGAGTTTTGGTTGATTCCAGACAGGCTCTAACAAGCTTTTTAAAGTCTTCAGGTGAATCTTTCTATGGGACATCTTAGTTTGGGCAAGGAGGGCAATGGTTCCTATACCCTCCATCAGCCCTCCACTGCAGGCTCTGGCTCTGTTCCATGATTATTCTCTTGCTTCTCTTTGGCCACAAAAAACAATTACTCTGCCAAGTGCCTCAGTTATTCAGACTTTCTGGAGAATGCCACAGCTATTTCCACCAACCATAGATGGCTATCCTCAGAATGGCTGGGGCATGGTGGGGGAGAATGCAACTTTTATTCTCATCTCCATATCTCTGTAAGCTGCCCAGACAGGTCCACAAATAAATATATAATCTAAGGTATAGTATACTTGTACATAAGCCACTTCAAAATAAATCCCCAAGGTGAATTCCACCCCCACCTCCCATCCTCAAACATATACACAGGAGAATGCTGCTCCCAATGCCCCAAGTAGGAATTCTGGCACCAACACTGACTGGCCTCATGTGATTCCAGCTTATTTTGGTCTCCATAGCTAGCTTTTCCTACTGAATTTACAGTTCCCATTTTGTTGTGGGCTAGATTCCCCAAGAGCAGACTCTAAGACTAACTTAGCATGCATGACGCTCATTGAGGAGTCCCTTGGTATCAGCACCTAGGGAAGGGAAGGGAAGGAAGCAGGATTGTGCAGCGGGAGAAGTCAAGCTGTGATCCAGTCCCAAGGACAGATTTGGCTGACTCCACAGAGAGCTCTAGAGCTGGAATGGCCCTTCAGAAATGTCTCAACATGGGTCATGATGGCTAGACCTTTATTCTCCCACATAGATCAGTTATTGTGAGGAATCCCAAGCCACATACAAAGGCCATGTGTACCTGTTCCAGCCAAAAGCCTTAGCTGAGGTCACAGCCAACAGCATGCATCCACCCACACATATGCGGATGAAAATACCTGTAAGGTGACTCCCGCCCCAGCCATAATCTGACTGCAACCACACAAGGACAGTCGGCCCCTAGATCCACGAGAGAAAATAATAACAAATAGACGGTTGTTCTCTGCTACTAAGTTTAGGTGGTTTGTTATATAGCTATAGATACCAGAACACTGAAGGATTCTCCTGAGAGGGTGAGGCAGGTTTATCTCAACATTTTCTAGTTACAAGCACTTAATTGTCTTAAGACCTAACCATCATCTCAAAGTTCCCTTCAAATATTTCTCCCAAACAACTTTTATATCCTTCCAAATAAGGCCAGGTGCGGTGTCTCATGCCTGTAATCCCAGTACTTTGGGGGGCTGAGGTGGGTGGATCACTTGAGTCCAAGAGTTTGAGACCAGCCTGGCCAATACAGTGAAACCCCATCTCCACTAAAAATAGAAAAAATTGGCCAGGCTTGGCGGTGCACGCCTGTAATCCCAGCTACTCGGGAGCCTGAGTCAGGAGAATCACTTGAACCCGGGAGGCGGATGTTGCAGTGAGCTGAAATCACGCCACTGCACTCTGGCCTGGGTGACATAGTGAGACTCTGTCTCAATAATAATAATAATAATAATATCTGCCTTTAACATTTCTGAAGTAGGTGATAATTTTCTTGTGGTAGATGGCATACATATATTATTGCCCTGAGGACACTAAAAAAAGACTTATATTCTGTTGAACACATCTGCACTATAGTACAAAGCCATTTAGCTGTATCCAGTGGGATACTGTAGTTTATTGTTTTGCCTTCTATCTGTTCACATTTGCTATTTCACCCTCAAGCCTTGCTACAGTAAGTAAGCCAATTACTTTCAAGAAAAAAGTCAATTAATACTTTAAAAAAGGTTTCTTTAAGATGTTAGAAGTTTTCTAATGTTAGTATTTCATATGTGATTTCATTTTACAATTGATTTTGAGGGCAGTCAGTAGTGGGAGGGGCTTGAATTTAAGCAAGGCCTTATGCTAGACATTGACTATTTTTGAGGAATTGATATAATTCCGTGAGGCTAGGGTGAGCAAACAAAGGCAAGAGTGGCTGGTGATGAGGTTGCCCAGATAGCAAGAGGTCAGATTATGCAGGGCTATTTTAAAGATTAAGGTTTGTGAAGTTCTTGCCACAATTCTGCTAAAAGAGAAAAAAGAAACCCAAAATGGAAAAATCAAATAAAGATGCTAGATTTTATCCTAAATAGAAGGGAAGCCATTGAAGGATTTACACAAAATAAGATGTTTTAAGTTACATTTTTAAAACAATGCGGTATCTGTTGTGTGGAACATAGAAGGGAGACAAGTTAGGAGGCTATGGCAGTCACCCCAGGAGAAATGATAGATAAGAATTAGGAGGACTGATGATTGATTAGATATGGAAAGTAAGAAAAATGAAATTATCAAGAATGATTCCCAAGTTTTGGGGTGAGCAGCTGGAAGGAAAGGCAGAAAGAGAAGTGCAATTGAAGGGGAGGAAAAGATTAAAGGTTTAGTTTTAGCCATGTTCAAATTCAGATGTCTCCATGAATGAAACTATCAGGAAAGACTAGTTGGAACCCCAAAGAGAGATATGGGCTGGAGGTGAAAAAAAAAAGTTCAATCCAAATTGCAAATGTGCTCCTGCATTTTTTGTTGTTTAATCAAATATACTTTTTATTTATTTTAGCATCTTCAAATATTATTGTTCAGCTTTGCAGAAATGAAGAGGATATTGCTTATTTGTAAGGTTACTGTGAAATGTCTGCCATCTTGCTGACGGTCATGGAGAATACTATAAGTCTATCTCATTCGATGGCATGAAAACAATGAAGGCACAGAAACTGCCAAGATGAGAAACACAGTCTTTTTTGTATCATTGTCTTACTAACAAACATTTATATCCTTATCTATATTTCTTACTGGGGAAAACTTGTTGCCATGTTTACACCTAAATCACATCAAAGTTGTGCAACATTTAAAAGATGTATCAGGGTGATGCAGGAGGATAGCTTGAGGCCAGGAATTCAAGACCAGCCTGGGCAACATAATGAAACCCTGTCTCTACAAAAAATAACAGAATTAGATTAATTTTGTTATTTAGTTGAACAAAAAAATTATCTAACAAAAATAACAAAATGCACCTGTAGTCCTAGCTACTTGGGAGGCTGAGGTAGGAGGATTGCTTTAGTCCAGAAGTTTGGGGTTGCAGTGAACTATGATTGCATCACTGCACTCCAACCTTGACAACAGAGCAAGATCTTGTCTCTTAAAATAATAAAATAAAATAAAATAAACTTTATCAAAGGAATCTTTAGTTTTATTAAGTATGTAAACATAATTTTAAAAAATAAATTTAATTCCAAATACTGGATTATCCAAAAACTACATCCAGGAAAGATGTAGTCTTATGGATCTTTAACAGCTAATAAGTTCATATTTCTTTTTTTCCCCGGTAACAGTGAGTGAGTGCTGGAACCAGCTTTCACAGGCCCATGAGAGCCAAATGTATGCATCTCTTTCCAACTCTACATTCAATGATGTCAGGTCGGTAGCTCGAAATCGGCTATGGTGGGAGTGTTTACACTACAGAAATCAACAAACACTTCAAATAAGTGCTTTTTTGTTCACCAGAATATATACCTATATCTCTTTTCTCTCTTGATTCCTCCAATTAAAAAAGAAAAGTTTTCATGGAATACTTACTAAAAAGCCCAATTTATTTTGTTTAAGTACTCATTTCCAAACTTGGGGAAAATTGAACCTTTTAGGAAATGCTATTTGAGTTTTACATCTTCCTTTTTAGTTGGAGGAGTCCAGGTTGAATGTATATGTTATTTATTATTAAAACCATTACATAAAAGTAAGATATCTCAAATTATTTGGGTTATAGTGGAACCATTACCAATCCTGGCATTTAGATTTCTGGTAAAGATAACTCTCAGCTTATAGGTATTATAAATGACTATATAGCTCTAAAGTTGGCACCAGGAATCTAAAAGCTCTATATAAACATCAATGAAGGAATATGTGCTTTAAGACCTACCTGGTCTATTTGTAGAGGGGCAGACTCAAGAAGTTTAAGTTCTTATCACATTTGTCTGGTTACTCAGAAATAGTCCCTCTGATGTTTTTTAAGGACAGTGTGATCAGCTCAACCTTACAACTAGTTACATTGTTTTCAAGGGACCTAAGCTATAAATGTGAGGGAATTCATTTTTTAATTTTTAAAATTTTTCAATTAAATTTTTTTTGAGATAGGGTCTCACTTTTCACCCACACTGGAGCGCAGTGGTGTGATCTTGACTCATTGCAGCCTCGACATCCCAGGTTCAAGCAATCCTCCTACCTCAGCCCCACAGGTAGCTGGGATTACAGATGTGCACCACCATGCCTGGCTAATTTTTGTATTTTTTATAGAGACAAGGTTTTGCCATGTTGCCCAGGCTGGCCTTGAACTCCTGGACTCAAGCAATCCACCTGCCTTGGCCTTCCAAAGTGCTAGGGTTATAAGCATGAGCCACCTGTGCCCGGCCGAATTCGTTTGTTTTTTGGTTTTGTTCTTTTTTTTTTTTTTTGGAGACACAGTTTCACTCTTGTTGCCCAGGCTGGAGTGCAATGGCCTGATCTCAGCTCACCACAACCTCCGCCCCCCGGGTTCAAACAATTCTCCTGCCTCAGCCTCCCGAGTAGCTGGGATTACGGGCATGTACCACCACACCTACTAATTTTTTGTATTTTTAGTAGAGATGGGGTTTCTCCATGTTGGTCAGGCTGGTCTCGAATTCCCAACCTCAGGTGATCTGCCCACCTCGGCCTCCCAAAGTGCTGGGATTACAGGCATGAGCCACTGCGCCCAGCCTGAATTCGTTTTTTTAAACACAAATCTCTTATTAACACTTAAAGACAAGTCTTAGACCAAAAGCTATTGGATCAGGGTCTTTATGTTCAGTTCTCTACCATGCCATATTCTAAAACAGGATTTTTAAGCCTTATGGGTATTCTATGGTTTGAATGTGTTTCCCCAAAGTTCATGTGTTGGAAACTTGGTCCCCAGTGCAACAGTATTAGGAGGTGGGACCTTTGGGAGGTGATTGGGTCATGAGGGCTCTGACCTCATTAATGAATTAATTCATTCACAAATTAATAGATTAATGGATTAATGGGTTATTAAGGGAGTGGATTAGTTTTCACAAGTGATTTCATAAAGGCTCAGGTCAAAGAAAATGCAGCTGTCTGCTTTCTGAAGCAGAAATGAATGGGCCTGTTTCATGTCAGCTGAGATACAATATGGCAGAGAAATTCCTTTCAGTGGAAAAACCCACAGGTTCCTTTGATAGCCTTCAATGGTAAGAGATGATGGTATTCTATAATTGGTGCAAGTGGAATGAGAGGTAAACGGGGATGCTAACAGAAAGGGGATTCAGGTGAGATTATATTAGAAGGCAAAGGAGACAGCATTATTAGACATTAAGGGTGAAAAATGGAAAAGTTTTACTAATGGAATGCCTTCACAGTCAGGCAGATAGAACTTTCACTTCCTTGAGATAGCCATTCTTGTATCTCCTACACCTAGCATAAAATCTCAAAAGATATTTGTTAATTTTTTTTTTTTTTTTTTTGAGACAGGGTCTCACTCTGTTTCCCGGGCTAGAGTGCAGAGGTACAATCAGGGATCAATGGAACCTCCATCTCCCAGGTCCAAGCAAACCTCCCACCTCAGCCTCCCGAGTAGCTGGGACTACCAGTAAGTACCACCATGCCCTGCAAATTTTTTAAATTTTTATAGATAAAAGGTCTTGCTATGTTCCTCAGGCTGGTCTTGAACTCCTAGGCTCAAGTGATCCTCTTGCCTTGGCCTCCCAAAGCACTGGGATTATAGTCATGAGCCACCATGCCCAGCCTCATCATGTTTTTTATTGGTGATTATGACAGAGATTAGGAGGCACTATTCAATCACTTCATGCTATATGGTGTTATAGACTGAACATCTGTGTTTCCCCCAAAATTCATTTGTTGAAGTCCTAACACCGAATGTGATGTTATTTGGAAATGGGGCCTTAAGGAGGACATTAGGATTACATGGTAGACCCTCATGATGAATTAGTGCCTTTATAACAAGAGATACCAGAGAGCTTACTCCCTCTCTCTCCATATTTGAACAAAGAACAGGTCATGTGAGCGAATATACAAGGAAGAAGGCAGCCTTCTTCAACCCAAGGGGAGAACTCCCACTGGAAACTGATCATGCAGGCACACTAATCTCAGACTTCCAGCCTCCAGACTGTGAGAAAATAAACTTCTGTTATTTAAGCCGCACAGTCTATGGTATTTTTTTTTTTTATGGCAGCCTAAGCAGACTAATGCATATAGTCTTCTCATTTTGTTAGGGTTTGAATTCAATATAGTAAGAAAATTTTCCTGTTTCTAGGATTCTTGTCAGACACTGTTGGAGGGAAGAAAAATTCACCTGTACTGTTTTAGGGGCTCTGCTTGCTACGCTCTTTTAGAAAATTTGAGGCCTGTGGTTTAGTGTTACTCAGTCATTGTGCTTCCCTCACCTCTCCTTTTGCAGATTAAAGGAGCCTGAAGTAAAGATGCAAGAACATGTCTTGGGAAAGGTAATGTGGCTTTACTTGTAAATAATTTCTCCCCCCTCTTAAGAACCAAATGTTTCTTTGTTTTTTTTTGAAGGAGAATTTGTATTATTTTTATTATTTTTATGTACAGAAAGCTCAACAGTGCATACTTAACCCAGTTTAATGGCAAGTTCATTCACCTTTGCCTTTTCCAGCTTGGCAAAGTGAGCCACAGATTTGGGACCCAGGACATTGCCTCCCCAGTGACAATGGATCTCATCATATCTGTCGCTGGAATTGGTCCTGATAGCTTCCACCAGCTTAGCCAAAGCTCCTTTGTCTTCTGAGTTAACCTCTGTGAAGGCGACAGTGGTGGAGGTCTTCCTGTGGACTAAACATCCCAGTCTTGCCTTCCCCTTGATAATGCAGTGGGGGAACCCCATTTTATGACACAGGACAGGCAGGAAGACAACCAGCTCAATGGGATCCACGTGGTGTGCCATCACCACCAGCTGAGCCATCTTGCACTCCACCAAGGTGGTGATGGCGTTAACTCCTGCTCGAAGGACAGGTGATCTCTTAGTGGGGGACATCCCCTTTGCTGGCAGCTTTCTTCTCAGCCTGGGCCAACAGTCTCTGCTTCTCTTGCTTTGTTTCTGGTCTGTACTTGTGGGCCCGCTTAAGCAGCCGAGTAGCTATGTGGCGATCCAAGGCCTGGGTGAACTGGTTAATTGTAGGAGGCACTTTCAACTGCTTATAGAGGATAGCTCTTTGCTGCTGCAACCTGATATAGTGGGGGCATTTGACAAAGCAGGTGAGGCACCTTTTGGGGCTGGATGTCCTCTCCAGTGCCAAAATTCTTAGGCCGTTTCTCAAACAGGGAATTCACCACTTTCTTGGCATCCTGCTTCTTCACGACAGCAGGGGTTGGGGCCACCTTCTTCCCCTTGGTCTTCTTTCCTTTCGGCATCTTGGCTGGTGGGAGGGGACCAAATGTTTCTTAAATAGGTTACAGCAGGCCGGGTGTGGTGGCTTACGCCTGTAATCCCAGCACTTCAGGAGGCTGAGGTGGGCATATCACCTGAGGTTGGGAGTTTGAGACCAGCCTGACCAACATGGAGAAACCGTGTCTCTACTAAAAATAAAAAAAAATTAGCTGGGCGTGGTGGTGCACGCCTGCAATCCCAGCTACTAGGGAGGCTGAGGCAGGAGAATTGCTTGAACCCAGGAGGTGGAGGTTGTGGTTAGCCGAGATCGCACCATTGCACTCCAGCCTGGGCAACAAGAGCGAAACTGCACCTCAAAACAAAACAAAACAAAACAAAACAAAAGGTTACAGCAGAGGTCCCCAACCCCCAGGCTGGTACAGTTCTATGGCCTGTTGGGAACTGGGCTGCATAGCAGGAAGTGAGCAGTGGGTGAGTGAGAGAAGCTTCATCTGTATCGATAGCTGCCCCCAACCACTCGCATTATCACCTGAGTTCCACCTCCTGTCAGATCAGTGGTGGCATTAGATTCTCGCAGGAGCAGGAACCCTATTGTGAACTGTGCATGTGAGGAATCTAGGATGTACATTCCTTATAAGAATCCAGTGCCTGATGATCTGTCATTGTCTCCCATCGCCCCCAGATCAGACCATCTAGTTGCAGGAAAGCAAGCTCAGGGCTCCCACTGATTCTGCATGATGGTGAGTTGCATAATTATTTCATTAAATATTACAATGTAATAATAATAGAAATAAAGTGCACAATAAATGTAATGTGCTTGAATCATCCAAAAACCATCCCCTCAACCCCAGTCCATGGAAAAATTGTCTTCCACAAAACTAGTCCCTGGTGCCAAAAACGTTAGAGATTGCTGGATTATAGCCAAAATTTAAAATTTTCATGGTCAACATCTTCCATCATTTGAACTTTGAAGATCTAGTTAATCTTATCTCCTCTTCATTTCCCTTCATGCTGTTGGCAGATAGGTCTCCTTTGTGGAACATGATCACATCACACTTTTGCTTTTCTTCATGTCTGACAAACCTTCAGAGCTTCTCTGGTTTATATAAATCCTACCAGTCCTTAAAGCTCTATCTCATGTCTGAGACTTTCCATGAGGCTTTATCTGATAATTCTGTGAAGTAAAACAACTAGTATTTCTTTGCTATAAAAGATGTCACCCACACAACCCTAGGCATCAAGGGATTAACAGTAATGCCCTCAGCTACTGCATGAAGGAAGTTTAATTGTGTTACACAAAAAGTGTCATGGGCCTTTACTTATGTGGGATCTATGTTCAGTTCGGACTCCAACCAGAAAGACCCCTCCTACTGGAAAAACCTTCACTCTTTGTTAACAGCCCAATGGTCAGGGAACAGATGACAAAGTCCTACAGGGAGAGTGCAAAACCAGAACACTCAGGTTGGAGAGATTGCGCTGCAGAATTATCCAGCCATTCTCAGCTTCAACAAGTAAAGGTTTATGTACCTCTGTAATGGGAATGATAACAGTTTATTCATCAGGGTTTTCTTTTTACTATATAGAGTAAATACAATGAGATGTGGAAAAACATTTTGTAAAATACAAAAGGGGAGAAAGACAGGAACTTATATATATTAAGAATTCACCAAGTGCCAGGCAGTGCAATGTAAAGCCTGTAGCACAGATGTATCTTTCCTCTTGGTGAATCCCTGCTCACTGCACTGTGTTGGAGCATCAGCCAACTGCAACATTAATCTCCAGACTCTTCATCCTCTGTGTTTCCTTTAGGAAGAGTTCCACACTTTGATCTTCAGACTTGCTATTAAGGGCATTCTCTGCTGTTTGTCTAAATTTAAAGTGGTTTCAAAGGACCTTATGTAGCTTTTTGTTATTTTTTAATGACTTTAGTATAGTTATAATTCAAAACTGTTTTATTTGCTCTTTTTAAGGGGTGACTTTTTAGTTAAATAATTTTATTACTTAATATCTCTCTCAGGAAAGTCGTTGCCCCAAGAAGAGCCAGTGATCACAAGCCCTTCCTAAGACAGATCTCCTAAGCAGGCACTAAATGAATCCCTGGATACAATCATAGAGTAAAGACCAGTAGTCTGTGCTAACAGGCACCATGTCCTTTCATTCTATGAAAAGGAAAAGGGAAGGAGGCAAATAGGTACTTTATCAGTATAGAGTCAAAAGAGAAGGGCCATTCAGAACCTGGGTTCAAATGTCATTACATTGCTTCCGGTTTGACCCTGGGAAAGCTACTTAACCTCTTTGCATCTTGATTTCTCTTATAAAAATCCACATACTAATACCAAAGCTGATGTAAGGATTAGTTGATGTAAAATACGTAAAATTTAGCATAATAACTGACATACACACTCACTCAATAAGTATATATCATTTTATAAGAGCAATCTTTGTGATGTATGAACCACAGAAGAGCTATATATCCCTGCTACATTTGTCCAGAGAAAAACTCCACAGGAAATTAAAATAACAACTGCACTTTAATATATTTATATTGCAAAGAGACATATCAAGCCAGTGTAACTAAACCACAATCTTCTAATATCTGTTAGGTTCCAGTTCTTGTAAATGGTATAAAATTTACAAATAGGCCCCCGCTGAGTATAGCCACTTATATGCCTAACAGGTAGAGAACTGAACTCATCATCTTGCCTCACACCAACTGTTCCTTTTTCTGATTATCTGATTTCTATTAATAGTTCACCATTCTCCTAGTAATTCATGCTTGAAACTGTAATTATTTTTGACAAAAACTTCTTCACCACTGCCTACTGATCTTACTTGCACTCAAAATCTAACTCCATCCATCTCCATTTCTGTGCCTACCCACCTAGTTCAGGCCTCCAACCTGGTTTTCTTGCTTCAAGTTTATTTTTTCCCACCAAATTCTTCCTCCATATAAATCTTAAGCAGACTCTGATATTGAGCCTGTTTCACACCATTACTTCTGCTTCTGCTCAAATATCTCCAGTAGCTCCCTATTGCTTACCAAAATAAACTTCAAGCATTCAACATACTTTATGAGATGACGCTGCAATGCCTTTCTGGCTTTGTCTTTAATTACTCACCGTGTGCATTCTCCTTGAGCTTCCCTAAGCAATCTCCCTACTATTGTTGTTGTTTTTACCTCCATAAATCTGGTATTATTTATTATATTTTGAAAAACTTAAACTCATTTAACCTGTCCAAATAATGTCACCCTTTAAGGCCAAAAGCAAATGCTATCTCTCTGGGAAATGACATAGTAGGTCTGCAGAAAATGTTTTTTTTAAAATAAATAAATAATGTACGAATAAAAGAATAATGAATGAAATTAAGTTCTATCCTGAAGGGCCTGTTTGGTAACAAAAGATCAAGAATTAAAATAGAATCATTAAAAGATTTGTGTGAGATTTGATCAAGTAGATACAAAAAGAGGCAAAGAATCTTTACTTTGATGACAAGAATAAATGGTTAGACATGGGAAACGGAACTAGAACCGAGAATGGAATATGATGGTCATGATATCAGCAAGCAGAAAAGGCCAATGAGAGAGGCGTCAAAGCCAGGATTGGTGAAAACAGCACAGACTCTTCTCAGAGGGGCAAATTGTGTGAAAAGTGGATTGCTACCACATAGGACTCAGATTTTTCTCTTGACCATGGTTCATAAAATGTGGTCTGCAGACCCCAGGGAATTTCCCAGATCCTTTCAAGTATATACAAGATCAAAACTATTTTTACAATAATACCAAGACATTACTTGGCTTTCTCAGTGAGTTGACATTTGCACTATGAAACAAAGGCAATGGTGGGTAAAATTGTTGGTGCTTTAACAGAAATTAAGGCAGTGGTACCAAAAGTGTACTAGTAGACATTGAATTATTTACTGCTATATCCCAGAAAAGCAAGACAGTTTCATTTAATATTATTCTTGATAAAATAGCATGATTAATTTTATTAAATCTCAACCCTTGATTATGTATGTTTTAAAATTCTGTGAGACAAAATGCATAATGTATTCCTGTTGCACACCAAAGTTCTAAGGTTATCTCAAAGAAAATGATTTTTGTGCTTGAGTCGTGAGTTAAGCCACTATTTTACATGGAAAATTATCTTTACTTGAAAGAATGACAGACAGATAAACTATAGTTATTCAGACTTAGGTATGTGTCAGAACTTTTCTCAAAAATAAGTGATCCCGTCACTTCAAGGAAAACAACTCACAGCGTTTGTTGCCAATGATAACATTTGAGCTTTCAAACAAAATTTAGAATTTTTTAAAACTCATATCTACCTCTATGAATTTGGCAGCTTCTTGATTCTTCAAAAATTTTCTGATGAGATCAGTGGTGACAATAACACATGTGATTTTTTTGGGGTATTTCAACATGAAATCTGTCAGCACTTGGAAGATATGCATAACTCAATGAAGCACTATTTTCCAAATGACTAAATGCATGATGTTGCAAAATAGCGCATGGAATCTTAATCACAGAAAGTTCATCTCAATCTGTTGGTGCTAACTCCAAATGGACTGCTGCTACACAACCACCCTACTTAAGGGTATTCTTGAAGGGAAATTCTCTCAACTGCAGATCTGTAAGCAGTGTACCTGATCAACTACTTTCTATAAAGGAAGAAAAGGCCTGATGTATAGATGTACATGGACCTTTGAATGATGGCAATTGGCTTGGTTGGTTAGTCAGACAGGCCTAGAGGAGAAAGACTGGAAGATGGGAAATAAAAATATCCAAGGAATAAATGTATGGGTAGACCACTGGAGTAGGCTCAAAGTGTGCAGAAATTTGTGTGCTACCTCAATGCCTATCAGAGAGCCTATACTGCAGAGAAAGCACTAAACAACCAAGTAGACAGGACTTGTCTAGTAGAAATCATTCAGTCTCTCTTCTCAGCAATATCTGTGTTTACACAATGGGCCTATGATAATTACATGGCCATGGTGGCAGGGATAAAGGCTGTGAATGATCCAATAGCATGAACTCCCTCTCTCCTGGGCCACTGCTGCTTGTCCAGTCTATTAGCAGCAAAGATAAATGCTAAGTCTTCATTATGGCACCATCCCTTAAGAAGGCTAGTCAACCATTCAGTGGGAAATTGATTATATTGGACTCTTTCAACCCTGGAGGGGATAGCAAATTGTACTTATCAGAATTGATACCTATTATGGGTATGCATTTTTCTTCACTGTTGTAGGTACCTTTGTCAGCACCACCCACCGTACAAGAACTTACTGAATGCCTGATTTACTGGCATTGAATTCTACCTATTTTTTTATATCAAAGAGCCCATTTTATGATAAAATAGGTGTAATAATGGGGCATAAACATGAAATTGGCCATCCTAATGGAACAATAAAATAATCTAATAAAGACTTAGCCAAGGAACCCATGCAGGACTAACACTTCAAAAGGATAGGGTATTGTTCTCAAGAATAAGATAGGTGCATTAAATGTATAGCTGATGGCTGGGCACAGTGGCTCACGCCTGTAATTCTAGCACTTTGGGAGGCCAAGGCGGGCAGATCACCTGAGGTCAGGAGTTTGAGACCAGCCTGGCCAACATGGTGAAACCTTTTCTCTACTAAAAATACAAAAATTAGCTGGGTGCGGTGGCGTGTGCTTGTAATCCCAGCTACCCAGGAGGCTGAGGCAGGAGAATCGCTGGAACCCGGGAGGTGTAGGCTGCAGTGAGCTGAGATTGCACCACTGCACTCCGGCCTAAGTGACAGAGTGAGACTCCATCTCAAAAAAAAAAAAAAAAAAAAAAAAAGTATAGCTGATTTCTAGTGGTGTGTTTCCAATAGCCAGAATATACAGGTCCAGAAACCAAAGGGTGGTTGTAGGAATGGCTCTCACCAACACTCCCATTGACCCCTTTGCAGAATTTGGGCTTCCTATCTGTGCATTCTTAGGCTTTTCAGGATTAGAAGCACTTGTTTGGTATGAAGGGGACTTCTATGAGGGCACACATGAAGTCTCCATTGAACTGGAAACTATAACTATCACATGATCATTTTAGATCACTTGTGTCAGTGGACCATCAATGAAAACACTTACTATCTTGGTGGTGATAACTGACCTTGATTACCCATATGAAATAGAGTTGCTGCTACCCAATGGAGACAGGAAGTCCGATGCATGGAACACATAGGATTCACTGAGTTATTTCTTCGTGCTCCATGTCTGGTGATAAGTATAAATGGGTAATTGTAATAATTAAGACTCACTGAAGAGCAAGAATTAGAGTTCAGACCCTTCAGAGATGATGATCTGGTTGCCCCCACCCAGTCAAGCAACACAGACTCCCTGAAATGGTAGCCAGGATGAGACAAACTAGAATAATCTTTTTCACATCCTTTCAGCCTACCTTTTATACCAACTATTGCTATGGCAACCAGTTTTGTGCAACTGTACCACATATTTATCATTTCAAAACCTGTGCTGCTCTGATGATATGGCATGGATGCCAATGAGAACCCACTCTGCGCTTAGGCATGTACAACCTGGAAGAGTAAAGAAGTTAACACTCTCTGGGACAATCTTTGACTGCACTTGTAATCTATTGCTGGATAACAAGTTACCAAATCTAGCAGCCTAAAACAATAACATGTATTATATCCCAGTTTCTGTGGTCAAGAGTACAGACACAGCTTATTTGGATTTTCTGCTTCCAGGTCTCTCCAGGCTAGAGTCAATGCATCAGGTGGGCTGTGTTCTCATTGGGAAGCTCATCTGCTCCCAAGCTCATATGGTTTGCCGAACGAATTTATTTCATTGAGGATATAGGACTGAAAGCTTCAGTGTGCTGGTTGGCTGTCAGCTGGAGGATGCCATTAGCTCCTAGAGTCCATTCAAGTTGCCTGCCATGTGGTCTACTCCATAGGCAGCAACATAGCAGTTTGCTTCTTCATGGCCAGCAGAAGAGTCTACTAGCAATATGAAGTCTTACATAACATAATGTTATCATAGGAATGCCATTCTGTCACCTTTGCCATATTCTATAAGTTAGATGCTTCACAGATTCCTCCCATATTCATGGGATGTAATTAACAGGGGCATTGATATCAGAAAGTGGGGGTCATTGGAGAATCAGCCTAGGTTCTGTCTGCCAGTCTTTCCTCAGGCCCTCCCATATGAAATATATGGTTTCTCCCCTTCCAAGGTTCCTGTATTAGTCCGTTTTCACACTGCTGATAAAGACATACCTGAGACTGGGAAGAAAAAGAGGTTTAATTGGACTTACATGGCTGGGGAGGCCTCAGAATCATGCTGAGAGGTGAAAGGTACTTCTTACATGGCGGCGGCAAGAGAAAATGAAGAAGATGCAGAAGTGGAAACCCCTGATAAAACCCCTGATAAAACCATCAGATATCGTGAGACTTATTTGCTACCATGAGAACAGTATGGGGGAACCTCCCCCATAATTCAAATTATCTCCCACCAGGGCCCCTCCCACAACCCATGGGAATTGTGGGAGTACAATTCAAGATGAGATTTGGGTGGGGACACAGAGACAAACCATATCAGTTCCCAAGAGTTTCATTCATTATAGCATCAGCTCAAATTCTAAAATTTCATCATGTGAATCAAGTCCAGGTGCAGATGAGCCTCCTACGTATAACCTGTTAAGTAAAGCTCCTGGACACAATTATTCTCTAACTATGGACCTCTGAAACCAAGGAAATGAGTTATCTGCCTCCAACACACCCAACATACAATGGTGGGACAGACACAGGATAATAGCTATAGACATTCCAGTTTAAAAATAGGGGAAATGGGTAGTAAAAAGGAGTCACTAGTCTATAGCAGTTTTGAAATACAACTGGATTTATTGGAAGTTCCTTAATTAAGTTTCTAGGCTTGGGAATGATTCTTCATGGCTCTTGGCTCTGCTTTCTGGGTTCTTGGTTCCACCATCTGAGTCATTCTTCCTTTTTCATGGAAGGTAGCATGTGTTTGCAGATGAGTAGTTTTATCAGCCTGCTTTCTGCCAGTAAAATTTTGGAGGTCTGACAGCCTCTTTTCATTTTCTAGTCTTTCTGTCTGTCTTATTCCAAGTTGGCACTGTTTCTGCAGAAATAATTTTCTCAAGAATGTTGTGGTTCTTTCTGTATTTCAGTGGCATTCACTCTTATCAGACAAAGGCCACATCTACAGATTGTTTCAAAAATAATTCCATCTCCTTTAAGCTTCCTAGAGGCTCAATAGTGTGATTGAGAGGATCTGAGGCATACCCTTAGATCTTTTCAAATCTAAGGGCCGTATCTTGAAATACCCCTGAGTACTCTGACCTTTGATCTTTTGGGGGCTTTAAAAAAGATTATAGAGTAACTTCAAGTGCATTTTCTCTAGAGTAGGCTTTTCTGACAGTGCCCAAAAGCCATCTCCAACTGTTAATATTTTTTGCCATCTGGGGAAGATGAGGATTTTTTAAATTATCAAGTCCTGATTCCTTTTTGCTTAATAGTTCTTCTCTCAATTTGTCTCTTTTCTTGAATTTTCCTGTAAGTAGCAAGAAGAAACCAGTTGTCCCCTTCAACACTTTGCTTGGAAATCTCCTTAACTATATAACCAAATTCATCCATTTACAAGTTCTGCTTTCAACGTAATTGCAAGAAATAATTTCACTAAGCTTTACGCCAGTACATAACAAGGATCTCCCTTCTTCCAGTTTCCTATAGCATGTTCCTTACTTCCTTCTGAGTCCTCAACAGCAGTCTTCAATATCCACATTTCTACTGAGAGTTTGTTCGCAGTGATTTGGGATTTGTCTATCATACTTTTCAAGCATTCTTCTAGTCTCTGTCCACTGATCAGTTTCAAAGCCACAGACATATTTTTACATATTTATTACAGTAGCATTCTACCTCTAGGCACCAAAATCTCTATTAGTTTTCCAATTCGATGTAACAAATTAACACAAGTTGAACACATTAAAATAACACACATTTACTATCTCTCTTTCTGTAGGTCAGGAGTCCAGATACACCTTAGTTGGGTTTTCTACTTTGGGGTCTCTCCAGGCTACAGTGAAGGTGTTGGTTGGACCATGTTCCCATCTGAAAGCCTGAAGAAAGAAGAATCTTCTTCCAAACTCTCTCAAGTTGTTGGGAGAATTCATTTCCTTACAGTCACAGGACTGAGAGCTTCAAGATTTTGTTTTGTTTTGTTTCTGTTGGCTCTCAGCTTCTACAAGCCACCTCTGAGTTCTTTGCCACATGGTCCTCTCCGATAGGCAGTTCATAACATGACAACTTGTTTCTTCAAGACCAGCAGGAAAGTGAGAGAGTGAGTCGGCTATCAAGACAGATTCTTACATAATATAACATAATCATGGGAGTGATATCCCATCACATTTGTCATATATTGTAATGCATGTATTACATTACATCATGGGAGTAACATCCTATCACCTTTGCCTTATTCTTCTGGCTGGAAGCAGTTCACAAGTTCTACCCAGTCTTACGGTGAGGGGCATAAAGAAGGTCATTAATACCAGAAGGCAGAGATCATTGGGGGTTACCTTAGGATATGTCTGCCACATTGGGGGAAGGCAGACAATTCTAGGTAGCTATTCAAAGATCCAGAGAAATGAGCCTGAGTTACCTACAACAATGTTCAGATTGATTAATGTATTCTTGAGTTAGCTTTCCTTCCTTTCATGTCTTAATTTTCCTAGCCCCTCACTCCTATTCACTGGGATCTCTTCCCAAAATCAACTATCCGCACAGAAGTTATTGTCTCAGACTCCGATTTCAGGGAAGAAGCCAGGCTAAGATAGCAGAAGAGAATAAACTTGTATAAATGGTATGCTACAAGTTAGGAGGGATGGTAGGCAGGAGGTTCTCCTCCTCAGAAATTAATTACCCCCTACCCATATATTTCTCTACACTATAATGAGGCAGTGCTAAAAGTTCATGGAAGAAAGCATGCTAAAGGTGCTTTCTCTATGCAAATCTCAAGATACAGCATCTTAACTCTCTCTTTCATAAAATTAGAATTGGCCCAAGATACTAAATTGGGCTAGGCTGGCAAGTGGGGTTCAAGTAGTTTCCATTGTAGGGAGAGAAATTTAATAAGTGTAAACCTGGCAGAGCTCAAAAAAGAGCAACAGAAGTACTTGAATACAAGGGATAAAACTATTAAAGAACATTTTTCACAAATAAGCCTTGTTTCTTCAATTATCTCTATTTCCACCATGCCTGCCATCTCAAGTGATGACTATCACTCTGCTCTGGCCAAGTTATATGTCAAATCACAAAGGTGAAATGAGATGACTGTCAGGTCATATGTTTGAGGGGGAGGAATGGAATTACAAAGAAAGGGATACCATGACACTTGGAGAAAGAGTTATGAGGAAAGAAAACCAATGGGGTGCTTAAGAAAAGGGCTTGAGTCAGAGTCAGCTGGATACCATGTCTGACACAGTGAACTATGATAATCCTCACAAAACATTTCTAAAATGATTGCCTTAGGATTGCACTGGCTGCATGGCCAGGGTTCTCATTTCTCATTTCCTTTTCTTAGAATTAAGGTGATGCTCTTTGAAATGTCTAAAGATAGATGACTACCATTGGTAGTCAACCCTGAGGTTTTTTATGTACAGGCCCAGCACTGAGCTAAGTGTTTTGTATGCAATTGCACAACATCTTTATGAGGATAGATGCTATTATTATCTGTTTCTCTAAGCATGGGGAAACTGTTAACCTCAGGGTGTTGAGTAACTTGCCCAACATCATACAGCTAGTAAATAACAGAGCCAAGACCCAAGACCTAGGCCCGCATTTGCTGGCTTAAAAGTTTAAGCTTTTTGCTTTTTTTTTTTTTTTCCAGTGGTGCTATCTAAGCTTACTGCAACCTCTGTCTCCCAGGTTCAAGCAATTATTCTGCCTCAGCCTCCCAAGTAGTTGAGATTGCAGGCATGCACCCCCATGCCTGGCTAATTTTTAAATTTTTAGTAGAGATGGGGTCTCACCATGTTGGCCAGGCTGGTCTCGAACTCCTGAACTCAGGTGATCCATCTGCCTCAGTCTCCCAAAGTGCTGGGATTACAGGTGTGAGCCACCGTGCCTGGCCCCAAGGTTAAGCTTTTAACCACTGCATCACACTGCACCTCAGGTTTCAAGATAGGGAAACTCAATTTTTAAAAATATTTATAAAGCATTTACATTTTTTCCATATCTCATTTTATAAAGTGTCTTAGCTAGTAAGCTTAAAAATTATTTTCTTCGGCCAGGCATGGTGGCTCATGCCTGTAATCGCAGCACTTTGGGAGGCCGAGGCTAGCAGATCACCTGAGGTCAGGAGTTTGAGACCAGCCTGGCCAACATGATGAAACCCCATCTCTACTAAAAATACAAAATTAGCCAGGCATGTTGGCACGTGCCTGTAATCCCAGCTACTTGGGAGGCTGAGGCAGGAGAGTCACTTGAATCTGGGAGGCAGAGGTTGCAGTGAGCTGAGATCACGCCATTGCACTCCAGCCTGGACAAAAAGAGCGAAACTCTGTTTCAAAACAAAAATAAATAAATAAAATAAAATAATTTTCTTATCAAGAAAATGCAAATTAATCTGCAGTGACAGAGAGTGGATCAGTGGTAACTTGAGGATGGGAAAGTCCCAAGAGTGGCAGGAAGAAGAAATTACAAAATAGCATGAAGAAACTTTCGGGAATGAAAATCAAAATTTGTAAACATATTTATCACTGCCAAAAGTTAAAGAGTCTTGCTCAAGATTAGCCTGAGAGTTAGTAGCAGAGACAGGATAAAAATATAGTTTTTAAGCTTCTTGAACAAGTGTTTTTTTCCTCTCAATTTGGTAAATTATTTCCATATGGTTTTAAAAAGGATATGAAGAGACATAAAATATGACATGAGTATTATAGAAAGAAAATTGTGTTTAGGAATTTTGGGCAGCACTATTCACAATAGCAAAGACATGGAATCAGTCTAAATGCCCATCAATGGTAGACTGAATAAAGAAAATGTGGTACATAGACACCATGGAATACTATGCAGCCATAAAAAAGAATGAGATCATGTCTTTTGTGGGAACATGGATTGAGCTGGAGGCCATTAGCCTTACCAAACTAACACAGGAACAGAAAACCAAATACTGCATGTTCTCACTTATAAGTGAGAGCTAAATGATGAGAACTCATGGACACAAACAGGGGAAAAACAGACACTGGGGCCTACTTGAGGGTGGAGGGTGAGAGAAGAGAGAGGAGCAGAAAAAATAACTTCTGGGTACTAGGCTTAGTACCAGGGTAACGAAATAATCTGTAAAACAAACCCCCATGACATGAGTTTACCTATATAACAAACGTGCACATGTACTCCTCAACCTAAAACAAAAGTTAAAGAAGAAAGGGAGCCTGTGAAGCCCCTCAGTCACTCCTCCTACATCTCATCCTGTTCTCCCACTGATCTAGCTTAAAGTCTTCCTGCTGGAACATTTCACCCTATACCAGGTGGTGGGGAAAAAAATTTTTTTTATTAACTTACGTATCTCAATTGAGCATTGGAAGTCTATTGTGAATTCATCTGATGAAAAAGTTGAATGCATCTCTTCAGAAGTTTATCATTATCATCTGCAATCTACTGAGAACTTTTTAAAAAATGAATCCTGCAATTGTATGGCCAGCAGGGGGCAACTAAATACTTCCCAAAACAGCATCTTGTATAAGAGAACAAGTTAAAATTGGAGACTGTTAGCATTCTTAGCTGTGTAGGAGAGCTGACTTCCTTCTAAAATGATAATTAACACCTAGACACATTCTCACAATACTGAATTTGTGAAGATAATTGGAACAGTTTCCTAAGTGGACAGATTATAAAACCACATTCTGGGGCCTGTATGTGGCAGATTTGTTTTGGCTGTTTTTTCAGTCCACAAGGTTCCTTGCAAAAATTTATGTATTTTATGATGAATAGCTTTGTAAAACTTCTTGTATTATAGAAAATATAATGAATCTTGACTTATTTCTGTAGGTTATTTTAGAATTCTGCTATTTTTACTTAACATTCAAAGATAAAAGTAAATAGGGATTGCAGAGGATCTTGTTCTTAAAGTATAATAAAGAATCATTTCTTAGCCCTGTTTTATAGAACTAATTTTTAAGCTTGTTATATTAGTTAGGGTTGTCCAGAGAAACCAAACCAACAGAATGTGTATACATATAGATATTATAGATATAGATGTTTATTTTAAGGAATTGGCACACATGATTGTGGGGACTCAGTTTCTGCTTGAGTCCAAAGGCAACCTGCTGGCAGAATTCCTTCCTTCTCTGGGGAGGTCAGTCTTTGATTTATGAAGGCCTTCAACCGATTGATGAGGCCCGTCCATATTATGGAAAGTAATCTGCTTTACTTAAAATCCACTGGTTAAAATGTTAATCTCATCCAAAAACACCTTCACCAAAACATCCAGAATAACGTTTAACCAAATATCTGGGTACCACAGCCCAGCCAAGTTGTCAAATAAAATAACCATCACAGTTGCCTATTTCTTTACATCACAGTCTCAAAGTCGTAGGAGATCTATATGGTGAAATAGCTCAACCCTCCTCCAGATGCAGCTGCAATGCCTGGCAAAGAGAAAGCATTTAGCAAATATATGCTGATTTGAATTGAACTGAATGTATATGAATTGAATTAAATATCCCTAGTGGTGGCTAGGTTCTGCCAGGCTTCCAGTGCGGTGCTGGGAGGTAATGGAAGATAGAAGTTAGGCACAGGCTCTGGAGTCAGATAGGTCCATATGCTGAGGCTCCCCTACTTACCTTATATGTACCTTTGGATGAATAACTTAATTTTTCTAAGCCTACATTTCTTCACCTATATAAAAACAACAGTCATAATAGCTATTTATGCTACATATTGCTTTGTTAATCAATATTTACTTCTCTTTCCTTTCTGGCCACTCAGTGGATTGACTGTATTCCTCAGCGACCCTACAACTGAATGGAGCCATGTGACTTGGTCTGGCCAGTGAAAACTGTAGATTTTACGTGTGTCACCTTCAGGATGTGGCAGTAAAAGGTCGATATGAAATTTTTTTCTTTCCCGACTGTGGCAACCATGGAAAAAGATTCATCTTAAGATGGCAGCACCACAAGGTTGAAGCTGCCTGGATTATCACGTTGTTGCATGGAAGACAGTTGCCTGGAGAGTTGCCTGCAGCCAGAGCTAACTTTTTGTTAAACATTTGCTTTTTCTCCCAACTGCAGCACAACCTAGACTATTCTCATGTATTGTCTCACAGAGTTGTTTTGAGGATTCAATCAGATATTGTTTCGCAGGAAACTGCTCATTTGACAAGCCATAAGCACTCAAATGTTATAATTATGATATTTCTTTGCCTTGATCATTATAGCAATTCAAAACTCAAACAATAAAATTAGAGTACCAGGTAACTTTTGTTTAAAGTATTAGTATTCTAACTCTTTAAACTTCTCCTCTGAACACTGCCTTGCACACAGTAGGCATTCATAAATAAACAAAAAAAATTTTTTTTTTTTGAGACAGGGTCTCACTCTGTCACCCAGGCTTTAACATGGTGCTACAACCAAGGCTCACTTTAGCCTTGACCTCCTGGGCTCAAGCAATCCTCCTGTGTCGGACTCCCAAGATACTGGGATTACAGACATAAGCTGCCACACTTGGCTGCTGGGATATTTTATTCCCTTATTGTTAGACTGGCAAGATTTAAGTTTATTTCTTTTGCTAGACCTAGGTTCTCATAAAACAACTACTTTTGGTTAGAGTTACCTATTAAAAAATGTATTACTATCCTGTCATTAATGGGGCTTAGGCAGTGATAGCTGCTCACACATCTTAACTCTTCCCTGAATTCAGACCCAATTGATAGGAAGCCAAAAAGATAAAATACCAACTTCTCGGCTTGGCATGGTGGCTCATGACTATAAGCCCAGCACTTCAGAAGGCCGAGGTGGGAGAGTTGCTTGAGTCCAGGAGTTCAAGATCAGCCTAGCATAGGGAGACTCCATCTCTACAAAATGTTTGAAAAATTAGCCAGGCATGTGGCATATGTCTGTAGTCCCAGCTACTTGGGAGACTGAGGTAGGAGGATCGCTTGAGCCAAGGAGGTAGAGGCTGCAGTGAGCAGTGATATTATGCCATTGCACTCCAGCCTGGGTGACAGAGTGAGACTTCATTTCAAAAAAGCTTCCTAAGATAAAGCTGATTGGATGTATTATAATATACAACCATGACCAGGTTTTTCAATATTTCTTTTTTTTTTTTTTAGACGGAGTCTCACTCTGTCACCCAGGCTGGAGTGCAGTGGCGTGATCTCAGCTCACTGCAACCTCTGCCTCCTGGGTTCAAGCAATTCTCCTGCCTCAGCCTCCCGAGTAGCTGGGATTACAGGCACCTGCCACCATGCCCAGCTAATTTTTGTATTTTTGGTAGAGACGGGGTTTCACCATGTTGGCCAAGCTGGTCAAATACTTCCTAAGTCCAAATGGGTGATGACTCGCCACAGGAGAATTTGAGTCTGCACGATGGATAGACTTGTGTAGAATCACTGTTTCTGCTTGGTGAGATCAACAGTAGAAAGAATGAGAGTTAGGCCTCAGGCCTGTTCTAGAAGACAAGCATAGGCCCTAATCCGTGTGTTTTTAGTTTATGACATATATTGAGGAACTGAGCAGAATATAATTTCTTGTGGGTGGGAAGATTTGAAAAAGATGGCAAGAAATGGCTTGGGTTTTATGTTTTTCTCCCCAAATCACCAATTAAATACAAAACTCCTTCCACTTGGGGAAAGTGGCAGAAAGAAAGATGAAATTTCCTCTTGACTCTATAGTTCTGAAAGAAACATATTTCTATTTTAAGAGCCAGGTAGGAAAACTGTGAGGCAGAGAAGATGGTTCCTTTTAATATAAACAAATAAATTATTGTTCTTGTGGTCTGAATGTTTATGTTCCCCCAAAATTCAAATGTTGAACTCCTCACCTCCAAAATGATGGTATTGGGAGGCGGGGCATTTGGGATATTATTAGATTATAGGGTTATTTCCCTCATTAATAAGATTACTGCCATTATAAAATGGGCCTGAGAGAGAACCCTCAGCCCTTCCACCGTGTGAGGTTAGAATGAGAAGACAGCTGTCTATGAGGAAGTAGACCCTTACCAGACACTGCATCTGCCAGTATCGTATCTTAAACTTCTTAGCCTCTAGAGCTTTGAAAAATAAATCTCTGTTTTTTATAAGCCACTCACACTATGGTATTTTGTTATAGCAGCATGAATGGACTAAGATACTTGTGATATTCTTGTAAGTTTTTATGTTCTGAAGTTACCTTATAATTATATAAGAAATAGGGTTTTTATGATATACTAAAAATCAATTAATTAGTACAAAAATTAAAAGTATCAAGAAGAAGTCACATATGCTAACATTTTTAGTGATAATTTTTCCTAACTTCCTCCCTACTTTTTGCTGGTAATAAAGTTTTCCTAATTTTTACTCATAATAAACTAATCCACAGGAAACATTCAATAGCAAATCATGTATAAATACTTAGCATATACTATGTGCAAAATACTTTGCCAAATGAGGGGATACAGACATTTAAAAAAATCAGTCCTGATCTTACAGTCTAGGGAAAGAAACAGATTTCAAAAAATATATTTACAATATGGTGTGTTAAGCCATTCACAGTCCAATGAATGGACTATGACAAATTACCTGCTTAATATCCATTTTCTGCTTCTTCCTTAGTAACAGAAATCCAATTCAAGTTTGGATGACAACGTAAACTTAAAAATATCCTGTCTCTCTTGCAGCTAAGAGTGACCTTACAGATAGCACATTTCTTTTTAAAGAAGTAGAAATCTCCCAGGGATTTTGGAATAAGTTGTGTCAATTCAAGTTTCTTGATTTAGGCACTATCCTCCCTTTTATATTTAAAACATGTTTTGTGGCAAGAACACTTAACATGAGATCTACTCTCCTTTTTTTGAGACAGAGTCTCACTCTGTCACCCAGGCTGGAGTGCAGTGGCACGATCTCGGATCACTGCAACCTCTGCCTCCCAGGTTCAAGCAATTTTCCTGCCTCAGCCTCCCACATAGCTGGGACTACAAGCGCCTGCCACCACGCCCAGCTAATTATTGTGTTTTTAGTAGAGACGGGGTTTCACCATGTTGGTCAGCATGGTCTTGAACTCCTGACCTCGTGATCCACTAGCCTCGGCCTCCCAAAGTGCTGGGATTACAGGCATGAGCCACCGCGCCTGGCAGATTTACTCTTTTAACAAATTTTTTTTTTTTTTTTTTAGACGGAGTCTCGCTCTGTCACCCAGGCTGGAGTGCAGTGGCACAATCTCAGCTCACTGCAACCTCTGCCTCCCAGGTTCAAGAGATTCTCCTGCCTCAGCCTCCCAAGTAGCTGGGACTACAGGCACCTGGCATTTTTTTTGTATTTTTTAGTAGAGACGGGGTTTCACTGTGTTAGCCAGGATGGTCTCGATCTCCTAACCTCGTGATCTGCCCGCCTCAGCCTCCCAAAGTGCTGGGATTACAGGCGTGAGCCACTACACCTGGACTCTCTTAACAAATTTTTAAGAAAATAATACATTATTGAAATTGTACAATGTTGCACAGCAGATCTCTAGAGCTTATTTACCTTGCTTCACTGAAACTTTATGCCCATTAATTAGTAACTTCCGATTTCCTCCTTCCCCCAGCCCTTGGAAACTACCATTTCACTCATTGATTCTATGAATTTGATTATTTTAGATATCTCATAAAAGTGGAACCATGCAGTATTTATCTTCCTGTGACTAGCTTATTTCACTTAGCATGATGTCCTCAAGGTTCATCCATGTTGTCTCATATTGCAGAAATTCTTCTTTTTAAAGGCTGAATAGTATTCTATTGTATGTATTTGCCCACTTCATCCATTCATCTGTCAATGAACATTGAGTTTATTTCCACATTTTGGTTATTATGAATAGTGCTGCAATGAAAATAGGAGTACTAATATCTCTTTAAGATCTTGGTTCCAATTCTTTTGGACAAAGACCTAGAAGGGAGATTGCTGGATAAATGGTAGTTCTACTTTAAGTTTTTTGAGGAACATCCAGACTATTGTTTATTTTGCTTTTGTTGCCTGTGCATTTGGTGTCATATCCATAATATCACTGCCAAGACCAAAGTCATGAAGCTTTTAACGTTTTCTTCTAGGAGTTTTACTATTTTGAGTCTGATGTTTCTAATCTATTTTTATTTTTATTTTTTTAAGAGACTGGGTCTTTCTATGTTGCCCAGGCTGGTCTTGAATTCTTGGGCTCAATTGATCTTCCTGGCATAGCCTTATTTTTTTTTCTTTTTCTTTTTTTTTTTTTTTTTTTGAGACAGAGTTTCGTTCTTGTCGCCCAGGCTGGAGTGCAATGGCGCGATCTCGGCTCACCGCTACCTCTGCCTCCCGGGTACAAGTGATTCTCCTGCCTCAGCCTCCCGAGCAGCTGGGACTACAGGCATGCGCCACCACACCCAGCTAATTTTGTATTTTTTAGTAGAGACGGGGTTTCTCCATGTTGGTCAGGCTGGTCTCAAACTCCCGCCTCAGGTGATCTGCCCACCTCGGCCTCCAAAAGTGCTGGGATTACAGGCGTGAGCCACCGTGCCCAGCCTGCCATAGCCTTCTAAGAAGCTGAGATTATAGGCACCACCACTTAGACCACATTTGGAGTTTACTCTGTGGATGGCGTTAGATAAGGGTCCAATTTCTTTTCTCTCTTCTTTTTTTTTTTTTTGAGACGGAGTCTTGCTCTGTCACCAGGCTGGAGTGCAGTGGCGCCATCTCAGCTCACTGCAACCTCTGCCTCCTGGGTTCAAGCGATTCTCCTGTCTCAGCTTCCCAAGTAGCTGGGACTACAGGCATGCACCACCACACCCAGCTAATTTTTGTATTTTTAGTAGAGATGGGATTTCACCATGTTGGCCTGGTTGATCTCAATCTCCTGACCTTGTGATCCATCTGCCTCGGCCTCCCAAAGTGCTGGGATTACAGGTATAGGGTCCAATTTCATTCTCTGCATATAGATATCCAGTTTTCCCAGCACCATTTGTTTAGGATAACATCTATTCCCCATTGTGTTATCTTGGCACCCTTGTCAAAAACCTGTTGACTGGGCCAGGTACAGATGCCTGTAATCCCAGCATTTTGGAAAGCCAAGAAGAGAGGATCACTTGAGGCCAGGACTTTAAAATCAGTCTGAGCAACACAGTGAGACCCCATCTTCACAAAAAAATTTAAAAATTAGCTGGACCTGGTGACACATGCCTGTAATTATAGTTACTGGGGACGCTGAGGCAGAAGGATCCTTGAACTCAGGAGTTCGAGGCTGCAGTGAACCATTATTGTGCCACTGTACTCCAGCCTGAGCAACAGAGTCAGATTCTGTCTCTCAAAAAAAATTAAAAATAGACCAGGGACAATGGCTCATGCCTGTAATCCCAGCACTTTGGGAGGCTGAGGTGGGCAGATCACTTGAGGTCAGGAGTTCAAGACCAGCCTGGCCAACATAGCGAAATCCCATCTCTACTAAAAATACAAAAATTAGCTACGCGTAGTGGCGTGCACTTGTAATCCCAGCTACTCGAGAGGCTGAGGCAGAAGAATCACTTGAACCTGGGAGGCAGAGTTTGCAATGAACCAAGATTGTGCCACTGCACTCCAGCCTAAGTGACAGAGTGAAACTCTGTCTCAAAAAAATTAATTAATTAATTAAAAATAAATAAAGATGGCCAGGCACGGTGGCTCACACCTGTAATCCCAGCACTTTGGGAGGCCGAGGCAGGTGGATCACGAGGTCAGGAGATTGAGACCATCCTGGCTAACACGGTGAAACCCCATCTCTACTAAAAATACAAACAAAAATTAGCCGGGCATGTTGGCAGGCACCTGTAGTCTCAGCTACTCGGGAGACTGAGGCAGGAGAATGGTGTGTTGACTGTGTATGTGTGAATTTATTTTGAGGCTCTCTATCCTGTCCCATTGGTTTATGTTTATCTTTATGCCAGTACCTACTGTATTAATTACTGTAGCTTTGTAATATATTTTGAAATCAGAAAATGTAGTGCCTCCAGTTTTGTTCTTTCTCAAGATTGATTTGGTTATTTGTGGTCTTTTATAGCTCCATATGAATTTTAGAATTATTTATTCTATTTTTATTTTAAAATGCCACTGGGATTTTGATAGGAATTCAGTGAGTCTGCAGATCATTTCAGGAAGAATGAACATTTTAATAATATTAAGTCTTCCAATCCATGAACATGGGATAACTTTCCATTTTCCTGTGTCTTGTGCACCTTTTTTCATCAATGTTTTGTAGTTTTTAGAATAGAAATCTTTCATCTCCTTAGTAGGTTTGTTCCTACGTATTTTATTATTTTTGGTGCTACTGTAAATGGGATTATTTTTCTAATTTCCTTTTCAGATAGTTTATTGTTAGTGTACAGAAATGCAATTGATCCTTGTTGATTCTGTATTCTACTACTTTACTGAATTTGTTTACTTGCTCTGACCTTTTTTAATTTTTGAATTTTTAAATTTTTTGTTGTGAGGTAGTTGCCAGCTTTATTTACCACCAACTAAATCAACATTGTGCTCTGTTACTTAAACTTACATTAATAAAAGTATATAATAATAGTTCTTGGCCTATATGCCACTTATTTCCATGAATATTCAAAAACTACAATTTATCAATATGGTAATATACTACAACCTTCTCTCAGCAAGCATTTACCTTCACTGTCTACTGTTTCAGGCTCTTTGTAGGTACTGGGTAAACAAACATGACTAAGACATGTTCCCTGCCCTCAAAGAGGACAAATTATCTGGGTATTTTCTTTTGAAATGTGTTGATATTGTCGCTACATCAGAGTCATGGTAATAATTGTGTTCTAACCTTTTTTAAAGGAAGTCTTTGGGTTTTCTATATATGAGTATGTCATCTGCAACCAGGGACAATTTTATTTCTTCCTTTCCAATTGTAAGTCTTATATTTCATTTTCCTTTTTTTTTTTTTTTTTTCTGAGACAGTATTGCTCTGTCACCCAGGCCAGAACGCAGTGGTGTGATCTTGGCTTACTGCAACCTTCGCCTCCTCAGTTCAAGTGATTCTCCTGCCTCAGCATCCAGAGTAGCTGGGATTACAGGTGCCTGCCACCACGCCCAGCTAATTTTTGTATTTTTAGTAGAGATGGGGTTTCACCATGTTGGCCAGGCTGCTGCTCTTGAACTCCTGACCTCAGGTGATCTGCCCGCCTCGGCCTCCGAAAGTGCTGGGATTATAGGGTGTGAGCCACCACACCCAGCCTATATTTCATTTTCTTGCCTAGCTATTCTGGCTAGAATCTCCAGTACTGTGTTGAATAAAAGCGGCAAGAGTTGGCACCCTTGTCTCATTTATCTTAGAGGAAAAACTTTCAATTTTTTTCTGTTGAGTATGATGTTAGCTGTGGGCTTTGCATATATACTTTATTATGTTGAGATCATTTCCCTCTATTACTATGTGTTGGAAATTTTCATCAACAAAGCGTTTTTATCATGTTGAATTTTGTGAAATGCCTATGTATCAACTGAGAGAATCATGTGATGATTATTTTTTATTCTGCTAATATGCTGTATCAGATTAGTTGATTTCATATATTGAAATCTTTGTATCTCAGGCATAAATTACACCTGGTCATGGTGTATGATCTTTTTAATGTGCTGTTGGATTTGTTTTGCTAGTATTTGTTGAAAATTTTTACATCGATATTCTTTAGGAATATTGAGCTGTAGTTTTCTTGTGGTGTCTTTGTCTGTCTTTGGTATCAGCATAAAGCTGACCTCATGAGTTTAGAACCTTTCCTTCCTTTTTAATTTTTCTGAAGAGGTCAAAAAGGATTGACATTAATTTGTCTTTAAAGTAGAGTTCACCATGGAAGCCTGGTCCTGGACTTTTCTTTTTGGGGAAGTTTTTGATTATTGAATCAATCTCCATACTAGCTATTGGTCTGTTCAGGCATTCTATTTCTTCCTGATTCAGTCTTGGTAGGTTGTATGAGCAATTTATC
The DNA here is from genome assembly GCF_000001405.40 of Homo sapiens. NCBI lineage: Eukaryota > Metazoa > Chordata > Mammalia > Primates > Hominidae > Homo > Homo sapiens. The sequence goes on along the minus strand of NC_000012.12, from coordinate 76,577,541 downwards.
CATTTTTTTCCAGTTTATCTAGTTTGTTGGCTTATAATTTTTCATAGTAGTCTCTTATGACCTTTTGTATTTCTGTGGCATCAGTTGTAATGTCTATTCTTTTATTTCTGATTTTACTTATTTGACTCTTCTTTTTCTTAGTCTAGCTAAGAGTTTGATTTTAGTTATCTTTTCAAAAAACCAACTCTTAGCTGTGCTGATTTTTTTCTATTATGTTTCTATTTTCTATTTCATTTACTCCTAGTCTACTGTTTGTTATTTCCTTCTTTTTGCTAATTTTGGGCTTACTTTGTTCTTTTTTTTCTACTTCCTCAAGGTATAAATTTGGGTTGTTTATTTCAAATCTTTCTTATGTTTTAATGCACCTGTTTATCACTATGAACTTAGTACTGCTTTTGCTGCAGCCCATAAGTTTTGATATGTTGTGTTTTTGTTTGTCTAGAGGAATTTTTTTTTTTTTTGAGATGGAGTCTTGCTCTGTTGTCCAGGCTAGAGTGCAGTGGTGTGATTTTGCTCACTGCAACCTCTGCCTCCCAGGTTCAAGCAATTCCCTGCCTCAGCTTCCCGAGTAGCTGGGATTACAGGCGCCTGCCACCAAACCTGGTTAATTATTGCATTTTTAGTAGACACGGGGTTTCACCATCTTGGCCAGACTGGTCTTGAATTCCTGACCTCGTGATCCACCCACCTTGGCCTACCAAAGTGCTAGGATTACAGGCATGAGCCACAGCGCCCGGCCTGTCTATAGAGGAATTTTCTGATTTAACTTTTGATATCTCCTTTGACCAAGTGGTTATTCAGAAGTGTGTTAATTTCCATGTGTTTATGAATTTTCCAAATTCCTTCTTCTATTGATTTCTATTTGTTTTCATTGTATTCAGAAAAGATACCTGATACGATTTCAATCTTCTTCTTTTTTTTTTTTTTTTGACACAGTCTCACTCTGTCACCCAGACTGAAGTACAAGTGGTGCGACATTGGCTCACTGCAACCTCCACCTCCTGAGTTCAAGCGATTCTTGTGCCTCAGCCTCCCCAATAGCTGGGATTACAGGTGCACGCCACCACACCTGGCTAATTTTTTTGTATTAGTAGAGATGGAGTTTTACCATCTTGGCCAGGCTGGTCTCAAACTCCTGACCTCAAGTGACCCACCTGCCTTGACCTCCCAAAGTGTTGGGATTACAGGTGTGAGACACCATGGCTAACCTGAATCTTCTTAATAATGCTAAAATTAGTTTAGTGACTTAACATGATCTATCCTGAAGAAAGACCTATATATGCCTGAGAAGAACGTGTGTTTTGCTGCTATTAGGTGGACTATTCTGCATATGTCTGTGATGGCCATTTGATCTAAATTGTAGTTCAAGTCCTGTTTCCTTATTAATCTCCTGTCCAGATGTTCTGTCCATTATTGAAAATGGGGTATTGAAATCTCCTGCTATTATTGTATTGCTGCCTATTTCTCCCTTCAGTTCTGTCAATGTTTGCTTTATGTGTTTAGATGCTTTGATATTGGGTGCACATATATTTACAATTGTTATATATTCCTGGTGAATTACCCTTTGATTATTATACAATGTTGTGACGGTTACTACTGACTGTCAACTTAATTGGATTGAAGGATGCAAAGTATTGATCCTGGATGTGTCTGTGAGGGTGTTGCCAAAGGAGATTAACATTTGAGTCAGTGGGCTGGGGAAGGCAGACCCATCCTTAATCTGGTGGGCACCATCTAATCAGCTGCCAGTGAATATAAAGCAGGCAGGAAATCATGAAAAAGTTAGACTGGACTAGCCTCCCAGCATACATCTTTCTCCCATGCTGGATGCTTCTTGCTCTCGAACATTAGACTCCGAGTTCTTAGGTTTGGGACTCTGACTGGCTTCCTTGCTCTTCAGCTTGTAGACACCCTATTGTGGGACCTTGTGATCATGTGACTTAATAATATATATGGAAGTTTATTATATGTCCATATATATGTACATATATATATATATATATATATATATATATCCTATTAGTTCTGTTCCTCTAGAGAACCCTGACTAATACAAATGTTCTTCCTTGTCTCCTGTGACAGGACAGTTTTTTACTTACAGTCTGTTTTGTTTAATATAATCACTCCTACTCTCTCTTGTTTACTATTTGCATGGCATATCTTTTTCTCTTTTTTCTTTTTTTGAGATGGAGTCTCACTCTATTGCCCAGGCTAGAGTGCAGTGCTCCTGCAACCTCTGCCTCCCAGGTTCAAGCAATTCTCCTGCCTCAGCCTCCTGAGTAGCTGAGATTACAGGCATCTGCCACCATGCCCAGCTAATTTTTGTATTTTTAGTAGAGACAGGATTTCACCATGTTGGCCAGGCTGGTCTCAAACTCCTGGCCTCAACTGATCTGCCTGCTTCGGTCTCCCAAAGTGCTAGGATTACAAGCATGAGCCACTGTGCCCAGTTAGCATGGCATATCTCTTTCCATCCTTTCAGTGCAGTTTATGTGTGTCCTTAAGTTAAAGTGAGTATCTTATGGACAGTGTATAGTTAGGTTTTTATTTTTAATTCACTCACCACTATATGTCTTTTGATTGTGGAGTTTAATTTATTTGCATTTAAATTATTATTACACTTACCTCCTACATCAAAACCTAATTGTAACATTTTAGACATATGTCCAGATGTATTCCACTATTGAAGCAGTGTTGCCTTCTGCCATGATTGTAAGGCCTCCCAAGCCATGTGGAGCTGTGAGTCAATGAAACCTCTTTCCTTTATAAATTACCCAGTCCCAGGTATTTCTTTATTAGCAGCGTGAGAACAGACTAATACAGTAAACTGGTACCAGTAGAGTGGGGTGCTGCTGAAAAGATACCTGAAAATGTGGAAGTGACTTTGGAACTGGGTAATAGGCAGAGGTTGGAATTGTTTGGAGGGCTCAGAGGAAGACAGGAAATATGGGAAAGTTTGGAACTTCCTAGAGACTTGTTGAATGGCTTTGACCAAAATGCTGATAGTGATATGGACAATAAAGTTCAGGCTGAGGTGGTCTCAGATGGAGATGAGGAATTTTTTGGGAACTGGAGCAAAGGCCACTCTTGCTGTGCAAAGAGACTGGTGGCATTTTGCCCTTGCCCTAGAGGCCTGTGGAACACTGAACTCGAGAGAGATGATTTAGGGTATCTGATGGAAGACATTTCTGAGCAGCAAAGCATTCAAGAGGTGATCTGGGTGCTGTTAAAAGCATTCAGTTTTATGCATTCACAAAGATATGGTTTGGAATTGGAACTTCTGTTTAGAAGGGAAGCAGAGCATAAAAGTTTGGAATATTTGCAGCCTGATGATGCAATATAAAAGAAAGACCCATTTTCTGAGGAAAAATTCAAACTGGCTGTGGAAATTTGTGTAAGTATCAAGGAGCCAAATGTTAATTTCCATGACAATGGGGAAAATGTCTCCAGGGCATGTCAGAGGTCTTCGCAGCAGCCCCTCCCCTCATAGGCCCAGAGGCCTAGTGGGAAAAAATGGTTTTGTGGGCTGGCCCCAGAGCCTTGCTGCTTTGTGCAGTCTTGGGACTTGGTGCCCTGCATCCCAGCCATGGCTAAAAGAGGCCAATGTACAGCTCAGGCCATTGCTTCAGAGGGTGCAAGCCTGAAGCCCTGGTGGCTTACACATGGCATTTGGCCTGTGGGTGCATGGAAAAATTGAGGTTTGCAAACCTCCACCTAGATTTCAAAGGGTGTATGGAAATGCATAGATGTCCAGGCAGAGGTGTGCTACAGGGGCAGAGATCTCATGGAGAACCTCTGCTAGGGCAGTGTGGAAGGGAAATGTGGGGTGGGAGCCCCCACACAGATTCCCCACTGGGGCACTGCCTAGTGGAGCTGTGAGAAAGGGCCACTGTCCTCCAGACCCCAGAATGGTAGGCCCACCAATAGCTTGCACTGTGTGCCTGGAAAAGCCAGAAACTCAATGCCATCCTGTGAAAGCAGCCAGGATGGGGACTGACTGCATCCTGCAAAGCCAGGGGCAGAGCTACCCAAGGCCATGGGAGCCCACCTTTTGCATCAGCATGCCCTGGATGTGAGACATGGAGTCAAAGGAGATCATTTTGGAACTTTAAGGTTTAGTGACTGCCCTATTGGATTTCAGATTTGCATGGGGACTGTAGTCCCCTAGTTTTGGCCAATTCCTCCCATTTGGAATGGGTATATTTACCCAGTGCCTTAACTTCCATTGTATCTAGGAAGTAACTAACTTGCTTTTGATTTTACAGGTTCATGGGTAGAAGGGACTTGCCTTGTCCCAGATAAGACTTTGAATTGTGGACTTTTGAGTTAATGCTGAAATGAGTTAAGACTCTGGGGGGACTGTTGGAAAGGCATGATTGGTTTTGAAATGTGAGGACTTAAGATTTGGGAGGAGCCAGGGTAGAATTATATGGTTTGGCTGCATCCCCATCCAAATCTCATCTCAAATCGTACCTCCCATAATTCCCACACATCTTGGGAGGGACCTGGTGGGAGGTAATTGAATCATGGGGGTGGGTCTTTCCTGTGCTGTTCTTGTGATAATGAATAAGTCTCACGAGATCTGATGGTTTTTTTGTTGTTTTTTTTTTGACAGTCTCGCTCTGTTGCCCAGGCTGGAGTGCAGTGGTGCCATGTCAGCTCACTGCAACCTCTGTCTCCCAGGTTCAAGCGATTCTCCTGCCTCAGCCTCCTCAGTAGCTGGGACTACAGTCACGCACCACCACGTGCGGCTAGTTTTTTTGTATTTTTAGTACAGACAGGGTTTCATTGTGTTGGTCAGGATGGTCTTGATCTCCTGACCCCGTGATCTGCCCGCCTTGGCCTCCCAAAGTGCTGGGATTACAGGTGTGAGCCACTGCACCCAGCTGTTTTTTTTTTTTTTTTGAGACAGGGTCTTGCTCTGTTGCCCAGGCTGGAGTGCGGTGGCACGATCTTGGCTCACTGCAATCTCCACCTCCTGGGTTCAAGCGATTCTCCTGCCTCAGCATACCTAGTAGCTGGGATTACAGGTGCGCGCCACCACACCCAGCTAATTTTTGCATTTTTTAGTAGAGACAGGGTTTCGCCATGTTGGCCAGGCTGGTCTCAAACTCCTGACCTCAGGTGATCTGCCCACCTCAGCATCCCAAAGTGTTGGGATTACAGGTGTGAGACACTGCACCTGGTCGATCTGATGGTTTTATAAAAGGGAGTTCGCCTGCACATGCTCTCTCTCTTGCCTTCCACCATGTAAGATGTGACTTTGCTCCTCATTAGCTTTCCGCCATGATTGTGAGGCCTCCCAGCCATGTGGAACTGTGAGTCAATTAAACCTCTTTCTTTTATAAATTACCCTGTCTTGGGTATGTCTTTATTAGCAGCGTGAGAACAGACTAATACACATTCCATTAAATCTCCTATAGGATTTGGTCTCCATTTACTTCTTCAACTTAATTTCCAGCTATGCCAGTTTTACTCATGCTAATATGTATTTCAGTTTCTAGCATAACCCGATGCTCAGAAGATGACTAATAACTATTGAAAAATTAATGCATAGAGATTGAATTAAGTTTTATATATTTTTCAGGTGAAATGTCTAAATGGAGATTATAATAATTTGTGATTATATATGTGACTATGTTCTTCAGGAGAGAGAACAAGGCTAGAGATATCTATTTGATAGATTAACAAGAATTAGAACATAAAATGTATTCTCTTTTCTCCTCCCTTTTTTGGGAAAAAGATATAGAGTGAAGAGAGAAGGCTGAGTATGGAATTGTGGGGGAAATTAAAGAAGCTGTAAACTTTCAAAGGAGACTGAGAAGTCAGAAAGGTAGGAAGAAAACCAAGAGGATATAATGACTCAAAAACTAAAGAAGAAGGTAATTTTTGCCCAAAAGCAAACCAAGAGACAAAGAAGTTGCCAATTGGTAAGGGCTGCCAAAGTGAAAAGGCTAATTGGATTTAGTGCCAAGGTAATCTTGAGCCACAGGTAAGATGCATAGGCAATGGAAATCAATAGGCAAAAGGAAATCAGTAGTTACTTCTTCGAAGAAGTAACCAGCTGGACTGATGCCCTGGCAGCCTCCCATGCTGGAATGTACCAGTCTCATGTTGATGGTGATTCAGAAGCTGTATCTGGGCTCAGCGGAAAATAGTGATTTTCTTTTTAAAATAACCTTTTATTATTATAAAACCAGCATATGCAAGTAGAAAGTACAAAACTACATATCAGCAAAATAAAACAAAACAACCCCCTTTCCAGAGATTAACAGTTCGGTGTATATCTTTCCAGTTCATTATTTATTCCTATATATGCACATAAATATATAAATATATTTTTACCAAAATGATACCATACTCAATGTGTGGTTTTGTAACCTATTTACTTTTTTAAATTAACAATCTTCACCTTTCCAAGTGAATACATTTTTATCTTATCTAAAACCCAAATTCAAATTTTTCCATTAGTCTCCAAAATATCTTTACTTTGAAAATTAGTAATTAAAAGCAAAGACTTATTATTTACTTTTCCTTTCCAGTAGGAGTTATATTTCAGGGTAACCAAATAGTTCCAGGTAATAAAGGCAAGCTCTAGGTTACCAAAGAAAGTCAGAATGTAGAAGGAATGATATATTTATAATTGTTTTGCAATTCTTATTGAAATTACTGACTCATGTAAGGGTTTTCAATAAGTGTTAAAGCATAAGGTTTATGTTTGAAGGGGAACTGGACATCTGTGTAGTATCAAAGCAATGCCATACAAATTACTTACCATAGTTTACAATGGAGGGATGAGCCTGTCATCATATCATCAATTCAGCTGTCATTCTAAATATCAATAGTTGTACATTAATCAAATAGCATGAAAGATACTATATAAAAATATATAACCTGTAAGTATTCTAGCCCTAAATGTTTAACTTGAATTCGCCTGAAATCTTTATATCTATCTTACTTGTTTCAAAGAAAGATTTCAAATAAATATTTCAAAAAGCCATTTTTACACCCAAAATCATAGATAAGATGTTCTGGGTTGCTAAGCAACACTGTGAAGGCAAAAGAATAATAATAAGGACATGTGTGCATTACTGCATCATCCTTAGATGTAAGTTTTGTTTTTGTTTTTATTTTTAGAGCCAGTCCCCTCTTTCTCTGTTGCCCAGGCTTGAATGCAGTGGCACAATCATAGCTCATTGTAGCCTTGAACTCCCGGGCTCAAGTGATCCTCCTGCCACAATCTCCCAAGTAGGTGAAATTACAGGCATGTGCCACCACACATGGCTAATTGTTTTATTTTTTGTAGAGACAGGGTCTTGCTATGTTCCCCAGACTGATCTTGAACTCTCGACCTCAAGTGATCCTCCCACCTCAGGCTCTCAAATTGCTGGGATTGTAGACGGGAGACACAGTGCCTGGCTGATAAGTTTTATTTACTGTAATTTGTTATACTAAGAAATAAGTGTGGCAAGAGGGGACTGGCTGGGAATGCTAACTCCATGTATTGTAAGAGGAGGTCTGGCTGGAGATTTACTTGAATGGAAAACATAACTCTGAAATTTAGTGTTTCCTGGTTGTTAAGGAAGTGGCTTTCATTTTCACATCACATGAAAGATCCTGATACGTACATATTAGGGGTTGTGTAGATTATTACATAAAGCTGCATAATGGCCTGAAGTCATGCCTGCCTATGTATCTTCTATAAACCTCAGAATCAGGCCAGTTGCTACAAAAGCCTTGTTATCAATGAGAGGATGGTAGAGTGTATGGTCTGTGTGTAATTTTTCTCCAACTGGGTGTAGTGAAAATACAGTTAGTAATATTGTATAGAACATAATATTCCCAAAAGGTAGTGACCATAATAGTTTATATTTCTTGAGTTCTTTAATTCTTATAATATTATAAAAGAGTTTTTTTTTAAACTCCTGTTTTACAGATGATTTTACAGATGACAGCCTTGGTGGTAAATGACAAAGCTAGGGTTAGAACTGAGATCTGTCTGATTTTGGTGTTAGAACTCAAACACACTGCACTATACTACTTCAGTGAATCAAATTTGTATTAACTTTGTAATTTTGGTTAAAATGTATTTTGAGGTTTTCTGTGGACCCAATAGTAATACTAACTTATAACAGTTTCTGGGCTATCACTGCGAATTCAATGGAAATCAAAGTACTTAGTTCTTGTCAAATATTAGCACTGAAGAAATAAAACATTAACAGAATATTTCGATTTTTTTAAAACACAGTCACTGCTATTCTAGGCAAAGCCTAAATTTTTATTTGACATTTTTTTTGCTACTTTTTATGAATTTGACAGTTGTGCATTTGGAATCTGTTCAAATTCTATTTGTAGCTGAATCATGTGAATGCCAATGCCAACGAGATCAGTACATCTGCTTCTTAGCATCTCTAGAGTAATCTGTATTTGCAGAATGCTTTATATAAATTTGAACATGCTAACATGCTCAATCAGATTTATTTACCACCAGTCTTATGATGTTAGGCCTTCCATAGTGGTTTAATAGATGTTTGGAGCAAATACCAGGTAGGCAGCATGGGCTGCTTTTGATTTGAACACTTCTACTAAAAAATAATAATAGATATGATAAGGAGAAAATGATTACTGTATTTGGTTAAGGGTAGAAAATAACAAGTAGTAATACTTTCCCATGGAATTGACCGACAGGTATAAAAAAGAAAGTGACATACTCTGAAAGTCTTCTTTTTTTTTCTTTCCTAAAGCAGGGACCCAGTAACATTTTAGAATGTCTTTAGGAAATGAGACATTAAAAAAACAAAAACCATAATCATGTACCATTATCACAACTAAGACAATTAACAATAATTCCTTAATATCCTGTAATATGTAGTTGGTATTAAAATTTTCCTGATTGTCTCATTATATCTTTTTATAAGTTGTTTGAATTGGAATCTGATAAAGGTAAAGATCCACGTATTGCACTTGGTTGATATATCTGGTAAGTCTATTTTAAATCTCTAACAGTGCCCTCCCTTTTACTCTCTTGCCTTTGTTTGTTGCACGAAGGTCATTTTTCTCTGGAATTTTCCCCGCCCTCAGTTCAGATAATTGTATTCTTTTGGTGTACTACTTTAGTAACTTAAGGAAGGGGTGGGGGGCTTAGGACACAAAGAATGTCAGGTCCAAGTCTATTTGCTGACTGCAGAAGGAAGTGGGGAGTATAACAATGTGCGATCATGGGGTGGAGTTGGTGGCCATGTCTGGAAGTGAGCTGACATTCAAAGATAAAGTCTTCAATAGAGGTATATCAATCCCAGTTCCAGGAGGATATTACAGGGATTAAGGATTAAAGGATACAATTAAGGGAATGAGACTGGGAGTCTGGTCTCAGCTGTGCATGTAAGAATACCAGACAAAAGTAAGGCTCCCATAGAAATGGACTGGAAACAACTAGGGGAGAATATCAACAGGGCCTAGAACAGAGGAATGAACGTGACAGGAATGTAGTGGACAGACTTTATTGGAATATAGGGTAGGCGCCTTCTTTTTCCACCATATCACTTCTGGGTACCAGTGTTCTGTAGAGGTAAAAGAGGCACTAAATACCTGGGAGATCTGGCAAAAGACATCTAGGTAGTACCTGTGGTTGGGAGGATTGAGTAGATGGTTGCTACCTGATAATGCGGTAAGAATATACGGCACCTTCACTCCCAGAACAGTAACAATGAGTTTTGAAATACTGCTGGTTTATAGGGTGAGGACTCTTGTTAGCTTTACACTCATTTCAGGAAAGAGGTAGAACAACATACAGATACTTGATAATTTTTTTTTGTAAGTAAGTGTAGGACCCAGTACAAACTGATAACTTATTAAATTGAAAGAATTAATATACAACCTGGTTTATGAAAATTTAATTACTGTGACTTCTCAAGAGTTTCATATACTTGTATAAATACAGGCTGGACAAAGCTAACTGGAATAATCTTGTAATTAGCTAGCAATCTAGTAGCTAATAGGAATACTAGTAATGTATACACTTTTACATATATTAAGAGATATAAATAAAAGTCATTTGGACAGTCTTCTATAAAATTATAGATTTGGTTTTATCAAGAAAATATTCTAGGGTGTGGTGGTTCATGCCTGTAATCCCAGTGACTCAGGAGGCTGAGGAGGGAGATCACTTGAACCCAGGAGTTCGAGGCTGTAATGCACGCCACTGCACTTCAGCCTGGGTGACAGAGTGAGACCCTGATTCTAAAACAAAAACAAAGTAGTATATAAGTAAATATACTTTGAATGATCTCGTGGTTGAGGGGAAAAAAGAGAAAGGTTCTGGTTTAAAAAAAGTAAGGTATAATTCATTTGCATTATACTTACAGATTTGGAAATCTAAGGGATTATGTGTTCTAAGCTTCCCATGTTTAAATAGTCATGATAAACTTAAAAAAAAAACACTCTCCTAAAATTGAAATGAAAAACACATTTACAATTGGAAATTTGTAGTCTAAGTAGCTATCAGAAATGGGTTCTTATTATTATTAGAATTTATTTTGAATTTAGGATGTCCTCTGAATTGAGTTAAAACTCAGTAGTCAATCCTTATACCTGCGCACAAATTTCTAGCTATTTCCCAAGATGGTGTTAAAAGTCATAGCATGCACATAATTTTGAATAGGCAACGTGGGTGGAAAGGGTAGGCAGAGCATTTCAATAAGACTTAATTGTCTTTAACCTGTGAATACATAATTATATAATTTGTTATGATGAACTTTCATTTATAGACTTCTATGGAGGGAATCATTAATACTTCATAGTTAAGTGAAAATAGTATATAATTCTGCTTTTTATTACTCTAAATCATGATCTCCTAAATATATGCTACTTTCTTAGTCTAATTATGTAATACATCATCTTCACTGGTACATTATGTAAATTTGAAATAAGAATGTCATTGTGAAGAAAAACACTTAAAATGCTGTTATTTAAAAAGAGAATACCAATAATATATTAATACAATTTGCCTCTATGGATGAGAAAAGAAGAAATGTATCATGTTTTTGCTTTTAAAATAAAAGGTATGTATCAGATGGAGATAATAGTACTAGTTTGTAAAATACTTTGTCTAATGAGGTCTAATAGTAGGCATAAAATGCAAATTTGGTTGGGTCTATTTCTAATGTTAGATATGTGATTTTTTTTTCTTTAAAAAAACTTATTAAAATAATTTTAACAATACTTACTGTTTGTTTGCATTGTCAATTGTATTTAGATTTAGGCAAATATCTACCACTCTTAATGCTCTTCGTTTATTATCAACTCTCAGACCTTCCATTTGAGTTGATTTTCTTCTTCTTCTTCTTTTTTTTTTTTTTGAGACAGGATCTCTCTCTATTACCCAGGCTGGAGTATAATGGTGTGATCATGTCTCACTGCAGCCTTGATCTCCCGGGCTCAAGCAGTCCTCCTACCTCAGCCTCCCGGGTCAGGACCACAGGCACACATTACCATGCCCAGCTAACTTTTAAATTTTTTGTAGAGATAAAATCTCAATATGTTGTCCAGGCTGGTCTCAAACTCCTGTGATCCTCCTGCCTCAGCCTCCCAAAGTGCTGTGATTTACAGGCGTGAGCCACTGTGCCTGGCCTGGGATCATTTTCTTTTTGTCTGAAAAAAGAAATTTCTTTAGACTTTCCTTTAGCGAGACTCTATTAGCGGCAAATTCTGCTTTTGCTTGCCGGAAAATTCCTTTATTTTGGCCTCATTCTTGAAATAATTTTTTCACTGGGTACTGAATTCTAGGCTGACAGTCATTTTCTTTTAGTCCACTGAAGATATTATTCCACTGTCTTCTGTTTTTCACTGGTTCTGATGAAAAGTCATTTACCTGACACTTTGAAGATTAACTATATTTTTTCTTTGTTGCTTTTAAGGTTTTCTTTTTTGTTTTTGGTGTTCTACAGTTTCACTGTGATATATCTCAGCGTGGTTTTATTATTCTTTAACTTGCTTGGGATTTGGGAGGCTTCTTAAGTCTGTGAGTTGGAGTCTTTCATCAGTTCTGGAAAGTTCACAACCATTATCTTGTCAAATACTGCCTCTGGCCCACTGGCTCTTTCCTTTTCATCTGAAGTCATAATTAGATTTTAGAGCTGTTTACAATGTCCTCCATGTCACTTAAAGTCTCTTTTATATTTTTAATTTATGTTTTCTTTTTTTATTGCATTTAACTTCATCTTTATCTTCCATTTCATTGGCTTGTATTTCTGCTGTGTCAAATGAACTACTAAATTTGTCCACTGAGTTTTTATTCTAATCATTTATGTTTTTCAACTCTTTTAGTTCTATTTGCTTTTTTCAAAATCTTCATTCCTACTTTAGTTTTTTGTTCTCTGCACATATTTTCAAACTTGTCTTTTATTCCTTTACTCATATTTAATATTGTTATTTACAGTCTGTGACCCCTTTTTTTTTTTTTTTTGAGGTGGAGTCTCACTGTCGCCCAGGCCGGAGTGCAGTGGCGCGATCTTGGCTCACTGCAACCTTCACCTCCCGGGTTCAAGCGATTCTCCTGCCTCAGCCTTCCCAGTAGCTGGGATTACAGGCGAAATTTTTGTATTTTTAGTAGAGATGGGGGTTTAACCATGTTGGCTAGGCTGGGCTCAAACACCTGACCTCAAGTGATCTGCCTGCCTTGACCTTCCAAAGTGCTGGGATTACAGGCATGAGCCACCACACCTGGCCCAGTCCGTGACTTGTAAATCCAGGATCTGAAGTCTTTTAAAATTTGTTTGTGCTGTCTTAAGTCTGTACTGTTTCTCACGAATGGTGTCTTATTCTGTGCTTGTTATTTTTTTTTAAATGTGAGCTGCTCATTTTCCTTAAAATTTTATTTATAGTCATTCTTTATGGCTTAAGATGAAGGTGGGTTCCTCCAGAGAGGATTGGTATTTGCTTCTGCCAGGTTTCTGAGAGCATTATCAGTCAAAAATTCATAATTACGCCTAGGTACAGTGGCTCATGCCTATAATCCCAGCACTTTGGGAGGCGGAGGTGGGCGGATTACCCGAGGTCAGGAGTTCGAGACCAGCCTAGCCAACATGGTGAAACCCCTGTCTCTACTAAAAATAAAAAAATTAGCTGGGCGTGGTGGCACGTGCCTGTAGTCCCAGCTACTCGGGAGGGTGAGGCAGGAGAATTGCTTGAACCTGGGAGGCGGAGGTTGCAGTGAGCTGAGATCATGCCACTGCACTCCAGCCAGGGCGACAGAGAATCCCTGTCTAAAAAAAAAAAAAAAAAAAAATCTTAATTATTAGCCTGAAGTTTTTGGGGACCACCCAGCTAGTATGAATTCAAGCTACGTTTTTGTGTGAGAATTGGATTGCAGTTCCAAATTCTCAGATACGATTTTGCTTTTCCCCTGTCCACCAGGTGCCAAGGTTTAAGACGGCTAATTTTCTTTGTAGATTCTGGGGGATGGGTGCCTATGCTAGTAAGCAGCAAGTTTATTTCTAGTATATCCTTACATCAAATTAATAATCCTTGGAATTGCAGTTGTTTGTGTGTGTGTGTGTGTGTGTGTGTGTGTGTGTGTGTGTATAATGCAGGTAATGGGTTTTGTGTCTTTCTTACAAGGTCACGAAAACCAATGCTCCTAGTAACTGGGTTTAGCACATGCCCTTGAGATAAAAGTTGGCTGACTCTGCTAAACTCTAGGTTCCTGCCTTCATTTAGTTTTTTAACTTAATAATTTCTTACCCTATTGTCAGTTAATCAATATATTTAATAAGATTTAAAAAATGTTTTTTCCAGGGATTTTGTTTTCAGTGTGACAAGTGTGAACTAGTCCTTGATATTTCTAGAAACAGAATCCTATATTCTCTTTATACTTTACTATCCAAATTTTCCTCAAGGGATATTTAAGACAAATAATACTAAACAGAAATATTTAAAATCAGTATGTAAATATCTTACATGCAAACATTTTGCATGCAAATTTACAGATTTTATAAAGACTGCTTCTTAACATAAATTTTAGGTGGATATTTACCAAATAGCTGGTTGACTAGTTTGTAGATGTCTGTTATTTATTTTATTAAATAGACAAATATTATTGTTCCACAGTACATTTAGCCTTTGACTCATGAGTTTGTTGGCTCAAATTCACTTTAGATGATTTGCAAGATTATGCTACGCAACAAACAATCTCAAAAATATTTGTGATTCACAACAACAAATATTTTTGTTTTACTCTTGTTTCACATCAGTAGCCGTATGTCAGGAGCTGCAAGTCAGTTGCTTCAGTTCTGTACAGGGTGAGAGTTTCAGGTCTGCTCCATCTATTTTCTTATTCTGAGATCTTATCTGGAACATACCTTTCTCATGGCAGGTGGCACAAGAGTAAGAGATTGACCTGAATTTTGCAATCAAATTTAAAGCCTCTGCTTTGATTTAGCATTTAACATCTGCTCACAAAGCACTGGCTAAAGCAAATCACATGACCAACAAGAATACAAGTCTTCAAAGCTGTGTTGAATACCTTATTTATGGCTGAGGTTGCTCTTAATCTAAATTCTCTTCCAGAAAATGAGGATTTTAGTCTAGAATCCTGATTAGTAATTGTCAGCAACATAATTGTCTAATGGGATAAGCCAAATGGAAAAAAGCAAACAACCTCAAGCAACATCTCTGTCATTCTAGGTCAGGGTTGAAATATACTGTGGGAAAGGCTGTCAAGCCTGTCAGTGCTTAAACTAATTTGGAAAGAACTTCCCATTCTTAGAAATGTATAATTAATAAAGCAGTAGGCAAAAGAGATGAATTCTCATTGGAGTTAAAATCGGATCGTTATAATAAAAAAGCTTTATTTCAAAATGTCATTCTTAAAATCATTGTAAGAGTAGCAAACTTGCAGGGCATCTCTGGGAGTTACTGAATATTTTTCAGTTACAGTGCAGGATCACATATTAGTTTCTGTTTATGTTGTCATTACATTGAAAATGCTAGATTGAATTATCATTCCTGGAATCACAATATCAGATTTGAAAGGATCTGAAAAAATGATTTTTCAACTGTAGTGGATTAATATATTTTTGTGTTGCAATCAGTTGTTAAGTATGTCAAAATCATTAGTTATTCATGACAAGTAACTATTATACTAGTGATAATCAAAGTAGAGAAGATTGTGAAAGATATACTTACATTTGTTTTGCAATATCTTCACTTTCAATTACTTGCATTAGGACTTTCTTTTTTTTGAGTGGAGCTGAAAGAAGTTAAACGTAGGCTGTCAGTAATTTGCATAATCCTGAGTATACCGTGTCTGTTTGTTTCCAATGTGATTGCCATCCACCGGGAAAAAAAAAAGGTGGTTTAGTATCATTTCTCAAACAGCATGTGGTCCTACTTGATTGGAACTTGAAATGCAGGGAGTAATTTATCTAGTCATACATCTCATTAGCTAAGTCTGTAACCTAGGCTTCCTTGCTTCCAGTACATTGCTTTTTCCAACAAATGATCAAATTTTCAAAAGCCAATGTATGAAATTGGGGCTGAGGCAGAAGAGAATTAGGCAAGGCAATTTGCCACCTTTTTCTAATCTTTAGTCTCAGTTTCCAAAGTAAAATAAAAGTACCAGAAAAACGGGGTCCAGATGGTGTATTTTGCATATTATCTATGCTCTAGGAACATTCTTTTCCAAATCTATTTGATTGCAACTCACAGTAAGAAATTGTTTAAATCACAACATAGGACATACTCTCACCTTCCACCATATTTGAAACAAAAAGTTTCAGGAAGCAATTTTTGCCCTTACTAGACATTATGCACTCTGGTATTTTATATTGTATTACATCCTAGCCTATTTCATATAAAAATGAAATTGATTTTTGAGTTGCAGGTTGAAAAACATGCCTCTAGAAAACAGGAGACAAGTTAATCTGTTAACAAACTCCAAAGTTACTAGCTTTGCTGAAATAATGTCACAGAATAATAAACTTCCTTCACATTTATTTGTACTACAGTCTCTCAGGCTTCAGAACAGAACCTGGTAGAATCTTTTCCTCTTTGGAACACCAGTTCATGACAATATCTCAGAGATTCTAAGACTCGTTGTTTCCCAGTTCATGACAATATCTCAGAGATTCTAAGACTCGTTGTTTCCCAGTTCATGACAATATCTCAGAGATTCTAAGACTCGTTGTTTCTGACATGTTTACATCTCTGAATTCAAGATGTGTCTCAGGCCGGGCGCGGTGGCTCATGCCTGTAATCCCAGCATTTTGGGAGGTCGAGGCGGGTGAATCATTTGAGGTCACGAGTTCAACACCAGCCTTGCCAAAATGGTGAAACCTCCTCTCTACTAAAAATACAAAAATTAGCTGGGCATGGTGGCGCATGCCTGTAATCTCAGCTCCTTGGGAGGCTAAGGGAGGAGAATCGCTTGAACCGGGAGGCGGAAATTGCAGTGGGCCGAGATTGCGCCTCTGCACTCCAGTCTGGGAGACAGAGTGAGACCCTGTCTCAAAAAAAAAAGGAAAAAGATGTGGCTTAAAGGTGCCTTACATATCAGCGGTATGGCATAGTTTCATTGGCAGCCTTTGTTTTCTTTCTTGGGTAACATAAAACAATGTAAGTCTATGATTTTTTTAGAGCTGCTATGAAATATATTAATAATAATTATATAGGCCAAACTCTATTGCTTATTCATTTCAATGTATCCAGCTTATCAGAATGCCTTCTGATTTCTTGTTAAGAAAATGTAATGAGATGAGAATAGCTTAAGAAAAAAATCCTTAGTTCTGGGCTACAAGGGAAAATGAGTTATGACCCCAATTTAATTATTACAGAAAGCTTTCTCATTTGCCTTCATTGTGATCAGGGTTTGAGTATGATCTTTATTCTACCTCCCTTACTTCTGTATAGTTAGGATTTCATTAGGCGGCTAGAGGGTTCTTCGGATCATGGCTAAAAAAGAAAGCAAAAGGTTAAGTCCTAGAGTTAAGGAATTAGGAAAAAAAAATTAAGGCATTAGAAAAAAAATCAAGAATTAGGCTTTATTTTAAAAAATGGAACAAACTGTCAAATTCCTGCGTACCCGTTTAAACTGTCACCAACCTAACACACTGTAAAACTTAATGACTGTAAAACTGGCAGCAGGATCCTGAACATAACAAGGAACAAAAATAAGTTTGCTAGGCTGTTTTCATCCCAGCATGATTGAAATACACCGTTTCCTCAAAAAAAAAAAAACCTCTAATGAGGAAAGCAGTAAATTAAATGCCACGGTTAATGTGCCACTAGAAATAGGAACAAGTAGTTTAGTTACCGAATGCTTCTTAGGCCATACACTCTACACCACGATGCGTTCTTTTTTCTGTTTCGCTAAAGCTTTCACCAAGCCTAAGGCTGGAGAGGGGTCCTAACTGAGCCCTGACCAGACCAGGGAGCCCTACTGTGCAATCTCCTCAGGTTAGGAAGGGCCCAGTATGACCGGCCCAGAAGGCCTGGCCGATCAACAGGCGCTGGGCCGACGGTGGTGGGCTCGCTTCCTGAGGCTGCCCTTGGGCATGCGGAAGGGGACTGGCTGGCGATAACACCCTGGCGAAGCAAGGTGGACAGTGACTCCCGCCCGGTTCGAGCCCGCCTAGCAGGGGAAGCAACTCCACCACCGCCTCCGCGCACCGTCACGTGACGGGAAGAGGGCGTGGCCGAAGCCCGTGATCCGGGGGGCGGGCGGGGCAGGGGGAGGGCACTAGAATGTGAAGGATCTTCGCGGTTCTGGGTGCCCAGAAAGGCGGCGACGCGGCGGATGACAACATTAGGCCGCGACGCGCTCCTGGCCAGGCGGCGGCTGTAGTGTTAGCTTTGGACGCCGCAGTAGCCGCTGCCGGTAGCAAGCCGACTGAGGGAAGGTGGGGGTCCGCCCGGGCTGGTGGACCTCGGGGCCGAAAGTTCCCGCCCCGCTCGGGGGCTGAGCCGGCAGTGCCTCCGCGGCCGCTGGGCAGCGCCCTTCGTCCAGGCTCGCGCCCCAGCTGCCGCCGACGACAGCGGCCGAGAGAAGTTGGGGTCTGACTAGACGCTTACGGGGCCTCGGACCCCGGCGCCGCGGCGACCTCGGAGGAACCGGCTCCTTGCGTCCCGCCTCCCTGGGAGCTCCGCACGGGTGAGTGTTGCTCCATTCCTGAGGTTGGGGTGCTGGGTTCGCACCCCTCAGGGCGACTGCGCACCCTTATTGCCACGTTCTGAGCTCGGGCTGTCGGGGACTCCTGGCCACCCCCGCCGAGGAGTTCTTTGGCTCCTTTGTTCCCTTTTGGAGTAGGGGGATTGGAAAGGCTGGCAGGGTGGAGTGTTTAGGGGCCCACAGTAGGTGCATCTGCAGCCTTACAAAAGCCGCGGCAGGGGAACGGGGGTGGGAGGCTGTTGGAGCATTTCGACCGCCCCGGGTGTCTGTCCCTCCTGAAGTTTGATAGGTTGATGGCATGGGCCTCGTTGGGAGCCCCCGCGCCCAGGAGAGCTGGCGCTTTGTCGCTCGGTGCGGTTAAGGCGAGGCTCCTTCTTTCCTGTGACAGCCCCAGAGAAGGCTGTGCCGCGCACCGCAGACCGCACCCGCCTTTGCAGAGCCAAGCGACACGGTGTTGTTCCTCTAAGCCTCAGTTCTCCCGGCCTTCTTGTAACGTAGGAGGAAAGCCAAGCCTTTGCTGTGCTTTTAAATTTAATGTTTGTTTCTAAGCCCTCTCTCAAGAGTGGAATCAGGTTCCAAGGAGCTTCACAGGCAGCATGCTTTAGGTTCATTGAACCACCCACTCAAGACTGGCTGAGGCGAAGCAACAGTATATGCAGATTTTCCATTCACAAAAGTCATTTAACACTCTTCTTTATGAGACACATCTGCGTTGCAGAACGTAACCTAATTTCATTTTATTTAAATGCTTTCTGAAATAATAGGTAACTTGGACAACGTAAACAGATGGGTAAACTTTAACTGATAATGTAAGTATATATGCATTAAATAAAAAATTTAATGATGTTTTTGCCTTTCTGCTGCTAGAAGACTTAAATGACGTCTGAGTAGTAATACAGTGTCTCCTGCATGGCAGTTAAGTTTTTCCCAAAATTAGTGCTGCTTTTGAAATAATCCTTTAAAACAGTTTTTGCCTCCCTTCGTATCTAGAGAGAGCAAGAATTGTGGAGAATCGTGGGTGAATTGATTGTTAAATTTTGCTAATTTCCTAGAGTTTCATCTAAACTTGATTTTGCTGAGAGGCTATGATCAGTTTCTATGCTTGCTAGAACCTGTTTTGCAGTGAAATTATTAAGATCATGCTAGTTTTATAAAATAGGTTGGAATAGGAAAAGTAAGGCCATGCAATTTAAAACTGTTCTCTATAAAAGTACAACTAATTTCAAATGTTTGTTACTTTTATTTTTTTTTAATATTAACCGTGTATGGAGTGACTATAATATACCTGCTCAAAGGGCTGAGAAAGGAAATAGATGAAACTTAAGCTACCTTTTGGGTCTTTAATTATGGACATCAAGTTATTGCGGTCACATTCCATGTCAACCGTTTGAACAGCAATACCGTGTACACAGGTGCTTAGAAATGCCTGTTTAATTAAAAATGGCCATGGTTTATTTCTCTTTGATTGAATCATAATAGTTATTGAATCTCTGATCTGTGGAAAGATGCTACTGTATTTTCCTTAGAATGTTACTGCATTTTAAAGACAGTCAAATATGTTTTTTATAACACATTCAGGGTACTTATACATTTGTCAATATTCAGTTCCTTGGTTCATTTAAAAATTGGAAGCCTTAGAAAACACTTTGGGGATAAATTTACAATTGTGTATAATGAATTTATGTTTTAGTTTGCTTTAAGAAAAATGATGAAATTATGAATTTGTAAAATATGCATTACAAAAGGATTTTTTTTTTTTTTTTTTTTAAGACTGTCTCACTCTGTATCCCAGGCTGGAGTGCAGTGGTGCAACTTGGCTCACTGCAGCTTCTGCCACCTGGGTTCAAGAGATTCTTATGCTTCAGCCTCCTGAGTAGCTGGGATTACAGGTGCGTGCCACCATGCCAGGCTAATTTTTGTATTTTTATTAGAGATGGGGTTTCACCATGTTGGCCAGGCTGGTCTCCAACTCCTGGCCTCAAGATCCGCCCGCCTCAGCCTCCCAAAGTGCTGGGATTACAGTCATGAGCCACTGTGTCTGGCGGATCTTTTGTTTAAAAGTATGAATTGCAGAATTTTAACCAGTGTTAGTACATTTCAACTTGGCTTTGGTTTGTAAATAATCCTTCAAAAGTAGATTACTTGAATTAAGGCATTAAAGACAAAGAATTGATACAGTACATAGATCTAGTTTTCTAATATTAATTTGGAAAACTTTTATCCTAATATTATCCTAATAACAATGCCTGAAATGTCATGTTGTAATGTTTGTATTATATTGAAAGTTAAAAACATTTATAGCAATGTTCTTGGAGCATCAGGCAATTCAAAGAGGACATAGGTCCTGCCTTAATCTTACAAATAATGACCTGCAAATAAGACAGAAACACAACTTGAATAAAAAAGCCTTTGAGAGGCCAGGCCCGGTGGCTCACGCCTGTAATGCTAGCACTTTGGGAGGCTGAGGTGGGCAGATCATGAGGTCAGAAGTTCAAGACCCGCCTGGCCAACATGGTGAAACCCCGTCTCTACTAAAAATACAAAAAAATTAGCTGGGCGTGGCAGTGTGTGCCTGTAATCCCAGCTACTTGGGAGGCTGAGGCAGGAGAATCGCATGAACCCAGGAGACAGAGATTGCAACGAGCCAAGATCATGCCATTGCACTCCAGCCTGGGCGATAGAGCAAGACTCAGTCTCAAAAAACACCAAAAAAACAAAAAGCCTCTGAGAAATATACAATTTTTAGTGAAGGTGGCTGGGTACAAGGAGATTAGTAGAAGTGCTTGACTGGAGCAGTTGTGGCCAAAGTATAGCTTCCTTGTGATGAGACACAGGAAGAGATGTCTAGACTCATGTTGTGTGCATATTTCATGGCAGTATGTGGGAAACCCCTGAGAGATTTTAGATCTTTCTTCCCACCTTGGTCCCCATCCCTCACATATCCTCACAAAGTCATAAAATTCTCATGTGGAAGGCGTGATAGAAGGAATTTTTCTTCCTGAAAAGTGTTATCAAGCTTGCAAGGGAGAGAGCTATTTTCGGAGACCTTATAGGGAAGAAATCCTAGTCCTAGAGCATCATATTCTTATACCCTGTTATTTTTACCTTTGTCGAAGATCCAGATAATGTAAATTCTCCATGATAGCAAGGACCTTGTCTGTTTTGCTCACCATTGAATCTCCAAATGTTCAATAGTTAATGAATGAAAAAAGTCTACTTCCAGATATATGACTGGAGAACAAAAGGAGTATCTGATAATGTAGTCCAAACTAAATGCAAGCAGCGAAATGATAAAGGAAGGATGTTAGCTTGGGAGAAGGGGAACAGGTCATTTAATCTGGGAAACTTTCTTGGAGGAGGTGATTCTTGAGTTAGGTTTTGGTGTGGGCTGTGTGTCTGAAGATAAGCAGTGTCTAAGGGGGTAGACAACGTGCAGCAAAGCATTTAAGTCAGACTGAATAAATTATGTCAGATAAAGCACAGTAAGTCTTTTTTTGTAACATTATGAAGAATTTTTATTCTCCCATCTCTATTTTCACCTCTCCCTAAATAAAAAGATTAACTTGCTTTGCAACAGCAGAGATTGACAGTACTTGAGTTTTGGAAGTACGATAAGGGTCAGAAAATTTGAATTGGTGTTCTGACTGAATCTTATACAAGCGTCGTTTCCATCGGCCAATCACTTGGTCTTAGTTTTCTCATTTGTAAAATCAGGATAATAATCCATGATCGTTGGGAGAACAAAGTTATATAATGCATGTGAAAGTGCATACCTCAATATGAATGTGCCTACCTCAATGTGTCACACATAGGAGGACTTCAGCAAATACAAAATTATTAAAACGTTTGTCTGCAGATCTTTAAAACATATTTTGATTCGTTTATCATGAACTCTAATATTTGCTTGACTCATCTAGATGACTCATGGCATTATGTTTAAATTGATCAGAATCAAAATTCTAGATAATTTTCTTTCAGTCAGTTTAATGTTTTCTGGTAGAAATGAGGCCTAATTGTATTACTGCTTAATGTTACAGACCACAAGGAGTGCTAGAAGCCTCAAATTTTTGAAGCTCAAAGTAAGGGATATGTGTAGCTGAAAATCTGAGCCTTTAAGCTTTTTTTCTCTACGTAATTTGTTTTTGAAGAAATTGTCTTTGCCTGTAATGTCATTTATCTATTCATTGTTGTGATGAAATAAGGGGTTTTCTGGTTGTTAAGAAAAAATTTACCAAAAATATTTTCTGTTTTTAGTGATGTGACTATAAGCCATGAAGATCTCTACCATCTGTGTTTTATTATAAAATTCAGTATTTCTTGAGCAAACAAACAGACATCTGCATTATTTCTTATCTAAGCTTTTTGTGCCAGTAGCTGTTCATTTATGAATCTCAGAATTTCATTATACTTTGTGAACTCTTTGTAGTGTTTTTGATCCATGGAGCAGTCTGTCCTTTGTATAATATTTGGAAGAGAATTTTATTATAAAAAGACTAAGAAGAGTCTTGAGCCTTTTTATTATACAAAGACTAAGAAGAGTCATCAAATGATAAGCCAGTTACCTACTAATTTCCATATTCAAAAAGGACTGAAAAAAAGAGGAAATGGTTTCAGAGCTTGACTTTTTTCAAATAAAAAGGAGAAGCTTTTTGATTTAGAGTTTTTGAAAACTTGATAGATTCAGAGGGAAATTGTTATAGGTCATATTAATAGCTAATGTGCGTCAACTGCTATATACCAGGTACTGTACTACTCTAGAAGTACTTGACATGTCATCACATTTGATCCTGACAACCACCCCGCAATCAGGCTATTTTCTTTTTTTTAAACCTGAGCAACTGACAGATTAAATAAGTGGTGGAGCCAGGATTTGAACTAAACCTGAGGCACAGAGAAGTTAAGTAGTAGGTGGTAGAGCCTACTAAAAGGATTTAAACTTGAGGTTTAACCTGACCTTTGACTTTGGAGCCTATCCTTTTAACCATCATATTATATACTGCCTTGTATAATTTATTTGCAGTTGCTCCTCTTGATACGTCTTGACCTTGTGATCTTCCTGAGTCTGTTTTAGTTGTGTCATTTACAAAATGCACTTTACTTTATAAGAAGATGGAATATAGCCTTGATTTTTTTTCTCTCATTTTACTTGTATTTGACTGACATCCTATTTTTAAATCTTAAAAATACTTAGAGTAAAGCAAATATTTATTTTATTGTTCATCCAGTTGCCATTTTCTCACTGGGGAATTTCAGAGAATTTCGGAGTAACTGGAAATTAAAGAACATAATAGATAACAGTATTTAAAGCTAAGTTGTTATAATTAAAAAATAGTTTTAAAGAATAAGGCTGATTCACAGAATTGGTATGCATTTTTTTTTAGTGTTTTTTTTTTTTTTTTTTTGAGATAGAGTCTCACTGTGTCACCTAGGCTGGAGTGCAGTAGTGTGATCTTGGCTCACTGCAACCTCTGCCTCCCGGTTTCAAGTGATTCTCATGCCTGAGCCTCCTGAGTAGCTGGGATTACGGGTGCATGCCACCATGCCCAGCTAATTTTTTGTATTTTTAGTAGAGATGGGGTTTCACCATATTGGCCAGGCTGTTCTCGAACTCCTGACGTAAAGTGATCCACCTGCCTCGTCCTCCCAAAGTGTTGAGATTACAGGCGTGAGCTACCTCCTCTGGCCTTTTTTTTTTTTCTTCTGATACAGGGTCTTGAGCTGTCACCTAGGCTGGAGTGCAGTGGCACTCACTACCATGGCTCACTGCAGCCTCGA
The DNA here is from genome assembly GCF_000001405.40 of Homo sapiens. NCBI lineage: Eukaryota > Metazoa > Chordata > Mammalia > Primates > Hominidae > Homo > Homo sapiens. Next base: position 76,553,603 of record NC_000012.12, on the reverse strand, counting down.
CCTCCCAGGCTCAAGTGATCCTCCTGTCTCTGCCTCCCAAGTAGCTGGGACTACAGGCGAATACCATCACACCTGGCTAATTTTTAAGTTTTTTTTTTTTTTTTTAGAAACAGAGTCTCACTATGTTGCCCAGCTTGGTCTTGAACCCCTAGCCTCAAATGATTCTCCCACCTTGGTCTCCCAAAGTGCTGGGATTATAGATGTGAGCTGCCATGCCAGGCCTATTTAGTGATATTTGAGGGACACAGATCTGTACAGTTGAAATCTGTCCTGTTGAGATGACCACCAGTAAGGTAATTTTTGCTTTTTGGCTGCCAAATGCCTACATATTAGCAGGAATAGTTTGTCAGATTACATAATTTTTTACAAGGAAGGCTGGGGCCCATGTGGAAATTATGGAATCTATGTTGGTATATTTTGATGGGATGGAAGTATGGTAGATCTGGAGAGAGAGAAGTTCAATCTAAGTAACATTATTACCGGGTAGAGTAATGAGGTGGGGTGCTTTGGATGTGAGGGCACAGGTACATTGTTCAAGTGGAGAGTAGGATGAGGGACTTCTGGAGACTAGCTTTGCTTAGTGTGTAATTTTGTGCATTGTTATGATTATAATAACTTGTAAGATCAGCAATTTGGAAGTAAAGAAAAGCAGTGCTGTGCATCATAGTGTGGAGTTTGTAATAGTTCTAGGCTGTTTTGCAAGATGTAGGTGCTTTACAAATATCCATTGGTAGTAATGGAAGTGCTCTGTCTTATCACCTATTTTAGAAATCTGGAGAGGCAGAATAGCACGAACCCTGGAGCCAGACTGCCAAAGTTCAGAACTGGTACAGCCACTTACTAGCCTATTGCACTGGCCCTATGCTGACTTGGGGTGGCCAAAAGGGAAGAAAATGGCATATTTAAGCAGAGAGGGGGCCAGAGATAGCACTCTGTGAGTTTTCCATGGTTCTTACATGGTCTGAAAGAGATCTGGATGTTCTCACATATGACTAGTGAAGGAAATAGAAGTTAGTAGAGTGAGAGCCAGGAAGCCTGTCATTAGGCTGCTATTGTGAGGGAGGGACCATGTAGTAGACAGAGGTTGTGGGAAGGGCAGATTCATTTCATTGCCCACAAAAATTTGTGCTCCCTCTTGCTTGCAACATTTTTTTTTTTTTTTTTTTTTTTTTTTTGGAGACATGGGGTATCGCTCTGTTGCTCAGGCCAGAGTGCAGTGGCAGGATCTTGGCTCACTGCAACCTTCGCCTCCTGGGCTCAAGTGATTCTTGTGCCTTAGCCTTCCGAGTAGCTGGTACTACAGGGATGTGCCACCGTGCCTGGCAAATTTTTTGTATTTTTGGTAGAGATGGGGTTTCACCATGTTGCCCAGGCTGGTCTCTAACTGCTGAGTTCAAGCGATCTGCCCGCCTCAGCCTCCCAAAGTGCTGGCATTACAGGTGTGAGCCACTGTGCCTGCCACTAGTTTTTCACTAGTGAATGTGAATAGAAATCAATTTGTTGTCACTTCTGGGTTGAAGTGGCAGAAAAAATAGGTATTCTTTCTTCACCTTCTCTTTTCTAATTCAAGGGCCAGATGCAGAGGTTTAGGCTCTTAAGGGATAGTAAAACCATAAGATTGGAATGTTCTACAGTCCCTAAATTTACCATGTGAAAGAAATTTGTGTACCAAATAGGAATACCCACAATGGATTGTAATATTAATGAGAAATTTTAATTGTGTGAAGCTACCGAAAATCTGGGGTTTATTTGTTAAGCAGCTAGTGTTGCCTTAAGTATAAGCCAGGGACTGGATAGACGAGGTAGTCGAGACTGTAATAATATCCGTACCAGCAGGAGCTGAGGTGGGTGGGGCCAAGTTAGGAGATCCTCTGGATACTGTTCCAACATATTCATCAGCATGTGCCATTGTGACTCTGTGAGGGCCAATATTCAAACCTTAGAGGCCTGTGAGGATCCCCAGGGCAATCCATGGGTCTGTATTCAGGCTAATCATAATACTCCAGATGCCCATGAAAGCTTTATCTTACGCCCAGTCACCATGATAAGAATGAGGAACAGAGAAAATCTATACAAGTCTGAAGAGTTTTCTTAAAGTAGGGTTTCTTAACTTGACTCTGTTGATATTTTGGGCTGGATAATTCTTTGTTGTGTGTTCCTGTGCATTGTAGAATGTATAGCACCATCCCTGGCCTCTACTCACTAGATGCTAGTACCATCTTTCTTAATTGTGACAATGAAAAATGTTTCAAGATATTGCCAGATGTTCCCTGGGGACAAGGTCACTCTCAGTAGAGAACTACTGCTTTAAAGATTGAGTGAATGAGTGAATCTGAAAGAAATGATTTTAAATGGAAAGAAACTATTATCCTTAATTAAAGAACTTTTTCCCCTTTTAGGGGTTGGGTAAGGTTCATGGGGAGCAGTTCATTTCTGTATATCCAATAAAGGAAGCTATGTTGTTTTTATAAAACATCCTAGTTTCTAGTGTGTGTGTGTGTGTTTTCCTCTCTTCCTTGATATACTATATATATGTTTGTATTATTTTTTGAGTGACAGAGTCTCC